>NC_000005.10:180124248-180274693 GCF_000001405.40 Homo sapiens
AAAGAAAATACCAAGCCTAGATGGTTCCACTGGCTAATTCTACAAAATGCTCCAAGAACAAGTAATTCCAGTCTTTCAGGAAGAATAGAGATCAGGGTAAGAGAAACAAAGACTACACAAGAACAGTATCAGAAGGGGAAATAACAGTTCAGTCTCACTGACGATTATAGTTGCAGAAATCCTAAAACATTAGCAAACCAAATCCAGGGAAGTGTGAAAAAGATAATGATTTCATTTATCCCAGTTTCGTTTATCTCAGAAATGCAAAGTTGGTTCAACATTGATTAAAAAAACAGCCTGGCGCAGTGGCTCACGCCTGTAATCCCAGCACTTTGGGAGGCCGAGGAGGGTGGATCACTTGAGGTCGGGAGTTCGGGAACAGCCTGACCAACATGGTGAAATCCTATCTCTACTAAAAATACAAAAATAGCTGAGCTTGGTGGTGGGCACCTGTAATCCTAGCTATTTGGAAGGCTGAGGCAGGAGAATCTCTTGAATCCAGGAGGCGGACGTTGTAGTGAGCGAAGATCGTGCTATTGCACTCCAGCCTGGGCAACAAGTGCAAAACTCCGTCTCAAACAACAACAGCAATAAAAAACTAGGCCAGGTGAGGTGGCTCACACCTGTAATCCCAGCACTTTGGGAAGCCAATGCAAGCAGATCTCTTGAGCTCAGGAGTTCTAGACCAGTCTGGGCAAACATGGAGAAACCCTGTCTCCACAAAAAATACCAAAATTAGCCAGGTATGGAGGCATGTGCCTGTAGTCCCAGCTACTTGGGGGGCTGAGGCAGGAGGATCACTTGAGCCCGGGAGGTTGAGGCTGCAGTGAGCTGTGTTCACATCACTGTACTCCAGCCTGGGAAAAAGAGCAAGACTCTGTCTCAAAAATACCAACAACAACAACAACAAAAAACCCAAAACAAACAAAAGAAACATTTATTTTAAAAACTAATATAAACAATCAGCTAACAGTTTAAAGGAGAAGAGAATATGTGAGTAACAGATCCAGAAAAAATAAATGAAATTTAACAACCATTCATGATGAGAATTCTGAGAAAACTAGGAAGGAACAGGATACTTCCTTAAGCTGATAATAGACATCTCAAGAAATCCTGTAGCAAACATCATACTCTATTGGGACAACACGTTAAAAGCATTCCTTTGAAAATCAGGATAAAATAAGGATGCCAGCTATCAATACTTCTATTTGACATTGTACCAGAGGTGCAAGTTAGCACAATAAGTTAGTCAGGCCGGGCGTGGTGGTTCATGCCTGTAATCCCAGCACTTTGGGAGTCCAAGGCGGGTGGATCACCTGAGGTCGGGAGTTCGAGACCAGCCTGACCAACATGGAGAACCCTTGTCTCTACTAAAAATACAAAATTAGCCAGGCGTGGTGGCGCATGCCTGTAATCCCAGCTACTCGGGAGGCTGAGGCAGGAGAATCGCTTGAACCCGGGAGGTGGAGGTTGCAATGAGCCGAGATCGCACCACTGCACTCCAGCCTGGGTGACAAAAGTGAGTGAGACTCCATCTCAAAAAAAAAAAGCTAATCTTAATTGCTAATATAAATATTGATAAATATAATCCATATAACCAAAAGTTAATTGGGGTCCTTAATAATTTTTAAGAGTATAAAGGGATCCTGAGCCTTTTGAGAACGGACACCCTACAGAAAGTGTGCACTCGTGTATACCAGCGGGTGTAAGAATGTCCACTGTGGGAATATTTATAACAGCAAAAAGCTGGACACACAAATGTTCATCTACAGTAGGGGGATAAAACAAATGTCATGTGTCGTCTTGATGTATTTCACAATAAAAAAGTAATATTTGGAAATGGCCCCAAACCAAACAAAAAATCTTACAAGAATCTCGGCCGGGCGCGGTAGCTCACGCCTGTAATCCCAGCACTTTGGGAGGCCGAGGCGGGCAGATCACAAGGTCAGGAGATCGAGACCATCATGGCTTACACGGTGAAACCCTGTCTCTACTAAAAATACAAAAAATTAGCCGGGTGTTGTGGTGGGCGCCTGTAGTCCCAGCTATTGGGGAGGCTGAGGCAGGAGAACGGTGTGAACCCGGGAGGCGGAGCTTGCAGTGAGCGGAGACCGCGCCCCTGCACTCCAGCCTGGGCGACAGAGTGAGATCCGTCTCAAAAAAAGAAAAAAAATCTCCCTCCCGTTCCTGCCTCCCAGCACCACAGTTGTTCCGAATTCCCAGAGCAGTCAGCATTCCTAGAGAGTGCTGACGGACACAGGCAACATACATGGTTTTGTGTTACCCTCTTTTTTTGTTACCCAAATGGTCACACACTCTCGCCCCTGCTCTTCCCTCTACCGTTTTCTCTCAGTGCCTGGAGGGATAGGTCTTGGAGGTTGTTCTGTCCACCTTATTCCCTTTCACAGCTGCACACCATTCTAGTTATAGACGTTTCATAATTTGTAATCCAGTCCCCATGGGTGACAAGGCAATCTGCCCCCAGTGTTTGGCCATAATAAACATTGTCTATCCCAAATATCTTCGTCCGTGCATGTTCGTGTACATGGGTGTGTATCTGTGGGATAAATTCGTAGGTATGGAAAATTGGGGTCAAGAAAGTCCATTTAGAGCGTCGATGCTAGTGCCAGTCTCCCCTCCAAAGTGGCTGCGCCAGCTTCACCCCAGCAGCCACGTGGAGTGTGTCTTCCACAATGTGTCTAACCTACTAGGTGATTTTTGCTTATCTGAGAAGTGAAAAATGCAATCTCATAGTTTGTACTTTTATTAGGTGTGAGGGCAGAAGGCACAATGTTTGCAATTCTGGCTTGGATTTAGCCCGTGGGAGGCACCGGCACCCTGCTGGTTGGGCTCCCAGAAGGGCGGGATCGAAATCCGGGTGCGTGGGCTGTGTCCTGAGCACCGGGACCCAGGAGTTCCCTTACCCATCCCGGGCAGCGGGCAGCAACCCGCGCTTCCCCGCGTGGCCGCTGGAGGGCACCGGCGCCCACCGAAACGCACCGGGAAGGCGCACGGGGTCCCGGAGCGCGCCAGGGGGCCCTCCACCCTCCTCCCTGCCCAGGGTCCTGGCCCACCCGAGCAGCGCGGCCCACGGCCTGGTTCCTGGCCCACTCCTCCTCCCTCGCTGGGTGGGTGACCCCCACGTCCCGCACGTCCAGGCTTTCCGGGGACTCGGGACTCGGTTGTCGTGGTGCGCCCCCGAGCTGGAGGGGCGTGGCGGAGTGGGCAGGGCCCCCCGAGCCCACCTGTCCCACTCTGGGCCACTCCAGCGCTCGCCCAGAGAAGGCTCGCGGGCTCCCCGGAGAGCGGCCAGTCACTGGGTGAGGCTCACTTTTGGGACAGCCCGTAAGAGCCTCCTACCTTTGTGCTGGCCAGAGGGTCCTTGTTCACAAAGGCCTGGACAAACTCCTCAGGCCCGATGTGCCGCAGCCGCTCCTGCAGGGAAGGGTGAAGAGTGGGTAAAAGAGGGAAGGTATGGGGAGGGGGTGTCCACTGGGGGGCCTGCCGTGGTGCCCCAGCCCCTAGTCCTCCTCACAACAGTCACTCTGCAACTGCCCTCCCCACTGGGGCTTGGAGACCCTGTTTTAGGTTGTCACAGAGCTCAGCGCCTTCCCTGGAGGAGGCAGCCCCTCCTTTCCCGGTTCATGGGGGCAGGGAGCAATGCTATGAGGCGTGACGCCCAGGGAAGCCAGGCTCCACGCTGGGTAACTGAAGTGGCCTGCTTCCTCTGCGGGGTGGAGGGGCTGGTGGCTAGGAGCATGGCATCTGGGTCAGAATCAAACCCTGGCTCTGTCCCTTCTGCTGTGTGACTTTGGCAAGTCGCTTCACCTTTCTGGGCCTTAGTTTCCTCTGTGTACAGGGCCTGCCTGGCCAGGTGATGGAGACATGAGCGAGCGCACGGGAGCGCGCTGAAGAGTGCCTGGAGAGCAGGGAGGTCGCCATCAACCCTCAGTCTCAAAGGGAAGAACCCGCCCCAGCCTCCCTCTCCCTGGGGTGGGCCCTTGGCCTCTGCATCCACAAGGGGCCCAGTGCATGCTCGAGGCTAGGCCAGGGCCTCCTTCACAAGCTTGTGGGGCTGCTCTGGGAAGCCAGGGAGGGCACAGTGTATCTGTGTGTGTCCTGCTGAATCCCGGGTGAGGAAGGTGGTTTGGGCCGGCTTACCAGTTCCACGTGGGTCAGCTGCTGGGCCAGTGTGTAGGGGTCGCTGCAGACACCAAGGAGCTCCCTGTGGATGGAGGCTGGTGGCTTGGTCCTGTAGGAGATGGGCTTGTCGGCACCCACCAGACCTTCTGGCCCCTGGCGCAGAGCCGCCAGCTTCTGGTGCAGAGCCTGTAGGAGCTGATGCATCCTCTTCCGGTATGCCTGGTGGGTGGAAAGAAGGGCGCTCAGGACTGAACACTCATCTCTGCATCTCTAACACTGGAACCAGGCAGCCACCTGGGCTCCAAAGGGAGGGTCTTTTCCTCAGGGTCTCTGGAGAAAAGGCCAGGTACCAGCGCAGGGGCCAGGACCTGCCCCTACCCTGAAACAGGACCCAATCCCGGCCAGGGTGGGGCCACCTGGCAAGGGATCTGGGGTGAAGGCTGCAGGGCTTCCCATCTGTGGGTGGGAGCCAAGAGGAGCACACATCAGGGAGGGTGACGGGGGCCGGGGGCAGCTGTCTGGGGCAGTGGGGTAGAGTGGGGTGGGCACGGCCAGGAAGCCAGAGAAAGGGAGAGAGGCGGGAGACATGGCATGGGCCCTGCCCTGGGCAGACGACTGGCATTTGGCTTGGCTTTAATGGGGCCTCTGTTATCTCCCAGGCCCAGCTCGGCCTTCCCCGACCAGCTGTGCTGTTGTCTGGGAGAGAGACAGGAGGTCAGTGGAAGGGCCAGGGCCCACGGGGGACTGACTGTGCCCCCCAGGGCTGGCAGTGGCTGCGCCCCACTCCCCATCTTCCCAGCACTCAGATGAAGCCCTGGGAGGCAGTGTGCCGACCACAGTTTTGGACACAGCCTTCCTTAGAGGGGTCGTTCCTTCCATGGGCAACAGATAGAAGAGTCGGACAACTGCCCGGCTAACCAGTGGGCGCCTTCTGCACCTGGCCCGTGCTCTGAGAGTTAGGCTTAGGGTTAAGCCACGTCCTGTCCCATTCCTCCCATCTGAGGCTCTGCCACAGCTGCCCACTGCCATAGGAGTGCCAGACGACTCCCAACCCCGCCACCAGAGCACAGGGCTCCAGCGTCCTCAGACAGTAGCAGCACCCCAGGGCCCTGGCTGAGGCCCCCCCAGAGCAATCGGAGCCCCCAGACCCTCACAGCCAGCATGCAGATGCCACACCTGCCCACCGCTCACTGCAGGCTCTGTGTGTCTCAAAATCGCATGAAGGAAAACTCCCTGCAATCTCTGAAGTGACCTGATGATGCCGACTGCCACCCTTCGTTATTTCCCGAGGCCTCTGGGAGCAGCAGCCTGTCCAGTCAAGGTGCGCCATCGCTGGGGACCAGGCTCCAGCTCCCACCACTGCCTCTGCCAGTGCCCAGGCCGGCTCCTGGCTGTAGGGGGTTGCATCTCACTCTGAGTTAGACCAAACCCCTTGAGGACATGAGGATGTCTACCTTAACAAACCCAGCCAGTCTGATGGCACTTCCTTGGAAATAGGGGTTTCCGAGGGGAAATAATTAGGTTTTCCTTGACGGTGGGAGAGGAGGTGCCCCTGAGGGGTGGCCACGGCCTTTCATCCCTGTACCCAGCCCATGATGTGGCCCAAAGCAAGAGCCCGTGCGTCTGAGCTGGCTGGTGGGGGTGAGCACTTACTGCGCACCCACTGTGTGCCCAGAGCAGGGCTGGGCTCTCATAGCACAGCGGCGGCAGCACAGACCTTGCAGCCCTGTGGAGCTGTTATTCTAGTGTGGGAGGAAATGACCCCATTGTCTCGACGGTGGTCCTATCAAAGAAGTCGCATAGGGTGACCTGGATGAGTACTGTTGGGAGCAGAGGCCAGGGAAACTAGGCTCCACGCTGGGTAATTGAAGTGGCCTGCTTCCTCTGCGGGGTAGGGGGCAGGGGGCCCATGGAAGGAACGACCCCTCTCAGGAAGGCTGTGTCCAAAACTGTGGTCGGCACACTGCCTCCCAGGGCTTCATCTGAGTGCTGGGAAGATGGGGAGTGGGGCGCAGCCACTGCCAGCCTTGAGGGGCACGGTCAGTCCCCTGTGGGCCCTGGCCCTTCCACGGACCTCCTGTCTCTCTCCCAGGCAAAGCCAGAGTCCCACGAGTGGCTACACCTGCTGTTTCGTCTCCTCACCCCCACTCACTCCTGAATCACTTCACCTGGCTGCCACTCCCATCAGTCAATTCGTTGGGCCCTCCTGTCACCAAAGCCAGTGGCCGTTTCTCAGGCTGCGTCTTCCTTGGCCACCTCCGCCTCAGCCTCCTGGTTGCTCCTGCCTTGGGCTGTCTGCAGGCTTGCCTGTGTTCACTGTCGTGAGATGCTGGGGTTCGGGGTTCTTCCTGCTCTGTCTAGGCCTCTCTTCTCACTCTTACTTAGCTCCTGGCTGTTCTGCTTCACACCTGCAGTCTCCCTCTGATCTCCAGAGTCATATGGGCGGCGGTCCGTCATATGGCCCATGGTCCTCTGTTTGCCCAGCACAGCAAATGGAGGTCGACTCTCCTTGTCCAAAGCTGGTATTCCCAGTGTTGGTGGATAGCGCGTCGGCCACCAGACACACAGGCTTGGTGCCATCCTCGACCCCGCCCTCTCCCTCATGCCCCTCTAGGCCATCACCACCCCTCTCTAGTTCATTTTCTTCTATTTCTGCGCATCCCACCACTGTCTCTGGAGCCCAGGCCACTGTCATCTCTCTGCTGCACTGGCCTTCTTAATGCCCCCAATGCATCCACGCCGGTTTCTCTCCACCCTGCAGCCACAGAGGTCTGTTCAAAATGCAAATCTGATCGCTGCCTCCCTGTTCCTGAAAATGCCTCCATGGCTTGTGCAAAGATAGGAGCCCTGGCGTGACTCTGAGGCTCCGAGGTCAGCTCTGGCCAGGCTTGGTGGCCTCTATGCGCCCTTGCTCCCCTTCTGTGCTCTGGACACAGGTCACTCCTCCGCCCCTTTGACTCCTTCCCACCCTCCCCATGTCCCCACTCCCCATGTCCCCGGCAGGATCTGGACAGCTTTCTCCCTTCTGGCACGTTCTCCTCATCCACTGGACCGAAGCTCAAGTGCTGTTTCCCCAGATGGGCCATTGGTGTTCAGTGCTGTGAGCCCTTCTGCCACACCACTTTTAGAGCTGTCAGGGAAATGATTCTGTTCACGTGCATCTCCTCTCCCTGGACCACAAGCTCCACACAGCCAACTGCGGGCTGCCCTGTGTTCATGAAGGGCCGTAGCTGGCTCACAGGAGGTGTCCACCAGCGTCTGCTGAATGCGTGGATAAACACCGCCTTCACCTGCTGACAGTCAGACGCTCTCTCCAGCAGGGTGTCAGGGCGGACTGCAGGCCCGTGCCAAAATCAAGGCTGCAGGGTGTCTGTGCCTACCCCTTGATAGGGCCACGAGATTGCCTTATTTTTTAAAAACACAGATACTTTAGCAAGATTTGTTACTGTTGAATGAACCAATATTCATTCCAAATAATCATCCTTTCCTGCTTGCTAATTTATTTCGATTTTTCCAGTGATGTTAGGTTCTAGCTTGTTTGTTCTTTCCTGACTCTTCTATGCCCCCTCTGAGTGTGGTTATGCTATCTGCCCTGCTCCTTGGCCTCCTCTCATTTTCTCACTGATTTCTCCACACTCGTGGATAGGAGCTTGGAGATCTCGCTGGTAGATAAGGGCAGGGCCAGAGACCTGAACCACCGAGCATGTCAAGGCATCCCCTCGTCACTATCGTGGGTCCATGTTTATGAAGCACCAGGCCGTGCTGGGGTGGAGCAGCACTTTGCCCCTCCTGCCTCGGGCTGAAGCCCTCTCTCCGCACTGATCATAGTTGGGAGGCTGCCCGGGAGGCTGGGTGGTCTGGAGCCACGTTTCCTTCTATTTCCACAAGCCATCTGCTGCGTGCATAGAGCCGGGTGTGAATGCGGAGTCGTCCGACGGTGGCCTGGGCGGCAGCCACGGCTCTCCAGGTGCCTCCAAGCTCTCTTGGACTGGGCATTTCACAGCTGGAACCCCTGTCCCTGACCAGGTGAGGCTAGATGAGCACTGGCCTTTGTTCTCTGAAATTCTAGGAGACTCCCTCCTGAGCCAGCCTAGGGCTGATGTCCTCCTGCCTACTGAATAACAGGCAGAGGTGGCAGAAAGCCGACGCAGGAGCTCGTGAGGCTCCTAGGGGTCTGCTCCCTCCATTGGTTTGTCCTCTATGTCAGCTTTCTGCCACCTCTGCCACAGAGGGAGCCTCACAGGGCAGTGGTCAGTTCCCCAGACAGTCCGTGTGGGCGAGTTAGAAAGCAAGACCAGGCCGGGCGCGGTGGCTCATGCCTGTAATCCCAGCACTTTGGGAGGCCGAGGCGGGCAGATCACGAGGTCAGGAGTTCGAGACAAGCCTGGCCAACATAGTGAAACCCTGTCTCTACTAAAAACACAAAAATTAGCTGGGCGTGGTGGCGCACGCCTGTAATCCCAGCTACTCAGAAGGCTGAGGTAGGAGAATTGCTTGAACCCAGGAGGTGGTGGTGGCAGTGAGCCAAATCACGCCACTGTACTCCAGCCTGGGTGACAGAGAGAGACTCCGTCTCAGAAAAAAAAAAAAAAAAAAAGCAAGACCAGTCCTCGGAGAGGGGCTGCCTGTTGAGTCGGCCTCCTCTGTGGCCGGCCCAGTGGGTATGGCCAGAGCACTGGGGTCCTCCCTGGCTCCCTGAGCCTCCTTCAGCCTTGGCACTGGCCTCCCTGAGCTCTAACTACTGCGTCCAACCTACCGGGAGCCCCACAAAGGCTGGGCTGCCATGACACTCCTCTGGGTCTGCTGCCTAGCACAGGGTGGCCCGATGCTGGGAAGGCTTCCCGGGACTCCCCAGAACCACGGTCATGGAGAATGGCCTCCTCAGTCCCTCTCCAGTGCTGCTCCAGCTGCCGAGAGCTGGTGTGGAGCACAGCGACGACATGGGAGTGGGCGGGGGAAAGAGGAAGGTGCCACCTTTCACTGTCACTCTGATGGGGAGCCCACTGCTGTCTCCTCTGCAGCCCTGAGCTCTGTGGTTCCCTCACAGCCCTGTGAGGGAAGAATGATCACCCTCCCTTTTACAGAAAGACACGGCCCAGAGAGATTAAGTAACTTGCCCAAAGACACACAGCTCTGAAAAGACCCGTGCTCACCTCAATATCTTGCACACAGCACTTTCTATCATTTTATTCCACCCCACCCTTGTGTGAGAAATCTTTCAAAAAGATAATGCCGAAATATTTTGGAAGCAAAGCCTATGTCTATGGTTTGCTTACAGCTAACTTGTGGGAAAGCAAAATGTGTGTGAGGACAGGACAAACCAGTTCGGCAAAATATTGTTGGAGTTGGGTGATGAGGACAGAGGAGTGCATGGTAACCATTCTTCACTTTTGTATGTTTGAAATGTTTCACAAGGAAAGTTCTGTAAAACTTAAGAAACAGCGCTCCTATGCCTGATTTGGGGAAGCATCTGTTCTCCTCACAGCCCTCATTTAGTGAGTGCTGAAGCAAGCACACACCTGACTTCAGGGACTCCCCGCTGCAAAGCTGTGTGGTGGGGACAGGTATTATCCTGTTTTACCGATAGGGAAACTGGCTCAGAGAGGCAAAGCACCTTGCTTGAGGTCACGCAGCTGTGGTTTCCCAGTCCGGATCTGGGTGGGCTCAAGCTGGGTCCCAGGCCCTGCCTCATCAGTCTGCTCCAGGGCTCTTCCATCCCAAACCATTCTGCGCCAGGAGGGGAACAACCCACAGTCCACAGCAGCGCCCAGTGAGGAGAGGCAGTGCCCAGAGAAGGTCCTCTTTGGGGTGCATGCTTTTTTGTGGAAGGGCAACTTGAGGTCACCAGAGACATGGGGAAGCACTACTGGCCGGGGCCTAGGTTGGGACTGGGGAACTCCTATTCCAGTCCACACTACACAGCCTGGTGACAGACCTGTGCGTTCTCCAGGTGGATAGGTGCTACTAGTTTCCCGAGGGGAACCAGGCCAGGGCTTACCCCAGCCCCACCACCAAGACATGGCTCCAACATCGGGCAGGACAAATCTGCCTGGTCATAGGACAGACCTCACTGCTGACCCTTGGTGGTCAAAGAGAACAAAACAGGAGACTGGGGTCTCACCCCCTGTAGACCATCCACCCAGCACCCACCATCCCCACACTCACCTCTTCTCCAGCCACGTGCTACCACCCACCTCCCCTTTTATACAGTGACCCACCCCAGATCCATCAGTTCACTCCTCTCCCCTTCCTTCCTTCTAACATCTGCCCACTCACAAATCCACTTGCCTACCCATCGGTCCACCATTCACTTTCACTCATCCATCCCCATCCACCTGTCCCCATCTCTTCACCCAGCTGCTATCACCCACCTCTTTTACAGTGACCCCCAACCCCCCAACAGAACTGTCAATTCACGCATCTACCCTTGCTTCCTCCTTTCTAGCATTCACCCATCCACCCACCCACCTGTCCACCCTTCCTACATTTCTCCCTCTCTTCTTTCCATTAATCTTTCCACATCCACTTACCCCATGCATCCACCTGCCTATCCAATTACCCAGTCACCTATTCTTTCCCACATTCATCTATAAAAGTAGCCAAATGTCTTCCCAGCCGGCCAGCCAGCACCCCATCCCGTTTCCGCTGTCCCCACCCCCCCCGTCCAATCATCAACTGTTCCCTGGCCCTGTTCTGTGCTGCATCCTAAGCCAAATGTCACAATCTCGAGATGGATTAGGGGATGCGGAGGAGGGAGAGGAGGCCATGAGGAGCAGAACAGAGGAGGGGAGAAGTGTGGGGAGGAGGAAGAGGAAACCACTCTCACCTCACTGAGCCTCAGAACTTGCCTGCTCAGTTCTGAGTCACTTGCCTGCTGTGTGAAGTGACCCCGGGCAGTGCCTCCCTCAGAGCCTGAGTGATGTCTGCTGTGGGCGTTTGGCTTCCTGTTGCCCAGCCTGTCTTGGCAGTTTTCCCTTTTCTCACACACAGCTCTTCTGCCATGTCCAGACCTACTCTGCGGCATGTCACCAGCTACCAGCTTGCCATGTTCCATTTCCTTCCAGGACGGTCAACATGTGCCCCCGCCCACGTTTCCCCCTTCCAGGTAATGCTACACCAGTGCTGCCCACAGTGGCGCCCTGGGATGCTGATAAACTTGCCCCTTCTAAACACACCAGGAGACGTCTAGCTCCATAATCCTGGGAGGTGAAGATTTTTGTCCTCCTTTCGCCCATAAGGGAAGTGAGGCTTGGAGACCCTTCAGTGTTCTCCTCAGAGTAACACAGCTGGGAGAGCAAAGCAGGTGTGGGCCACAGCAGCACTTGATGCCCAGCACACCTAAGGCCTCCCAAGCCGCTGGGGTTCCTGAGGGCAAGGGCCGTGTTTACCTGGTGTGGTTTAACTGCAGGGGGAGGTCTTGTCCCCTCCTCTGCCCCTACCCTGAAGGTTTGCAGCTTACCCGTGGAGGCAGAGAGGATCTCAGGAAAATCTGTTTGGACAGATGTGGCCATTTTCCTTGCTACTGTTTTTTTGTTCATCCTGTAGACACTCTTCCCTGGCCCTGATTTGCAGGTCCCTGCCTAGCAGCACTGACAACCAGCCCAGCCCTTCTTGCACGGGAAGTGGGGCAGGGGCAGGAGGGGGTAGGTCTCCGTGGCCAAGGCCCAGGACAGGGCTCTGCCAGCCCCGCCTAGTAGGTCAGAGGCCAACAGCCTGGCCACCTGGCCCCAAAAGCCCAGGAATGGGTCCCCCCTCACCCGCCATCTGATGCCATTGGTGAGAGCAGTCAGGGAGAGGTCACCAGACTCCGCGTTCCCTCCCAGCTCGGCAGTGCCTGATTCCTTGATAGGCCAGAAAGCGGCTGGATTTGGACGGGCCGTGGTGTGCAGGGTGGGGAGATGAGGGCCCTGGGGTGCGGGCCGGGAACAGGCGCAGGCCTGGGACGGGAGGGACCCAGGGTGACGCGACCCCCGCCCAGCTGCCCACCTCGTCACAGGGGGCGATGCGGCCCACGACGTCCTTAAGGTGCCCGATAGTCGACTCTTCCTGGAAGTCCCTTGGGAAGGTCTCGGTCCACTCGGCCAACAGCTGCAGCAGTTTGGGGCCGAACTTCCGGACCCGGGCCTACGGGCAAGCGAGGGGCACCGCGCTCGTGAGGGGCGCCGGGTGGGCACGTGAGCCTCACTGCGCGTCCTTGCGGGTCTGGCCGCCCGGGGCAGGCAGGGCCTCGTGCCCTCTCTGTGCCAGGGAGGAGGAGGGGGGTGCGATCCTGCTCTGCGCCCACGGGGAGAGGAGGGGGGACGGACACATTTCTGGGCAGGGCCATCTCTTGCTCTGGCCTTTCTGCGGTTGACGGCTCCATCCTCCCTGGTGAGTCTTCGCGCTGCGGGGAGTGGGGAGTCCTCAGAGCAGGGGACCCTGCCCCAGGGGTGGGTCTAGGTCTGTGCCGACCAATCAGAGCAGGCATACGCCATCGTGCACAGTGATTGGCTCACAGGTGGCCACGTGACCTAGGATACGCCAATGAGGAGACTCACTGGGCCAGTAGAGAAAAGGAATTGAGGCTTCCACGTGACCGGAAAGGGTGGTAGGTGAGCCTGGTGCGGTGGAGGCGGCCAAGCGCCACACCAGCCAGCCCGAGGGAGGCCAGCCCCGGGAAGCGGCAGCAGAGGGCGGGAGGGAGACAGGCCACGGTGCAGTGCTGTGGTGTGAGGCCCGAGCCAGCGGTCCCTGAGATAGGGCAGGTACACGGGCCAGCTAAGTCCTTTTGGTTCAGGCGGGTTGAAGTTGGGTCTCTCCCACTAGCGGTAGAGCCCTACCGACGCGTGTGCAATAGAGGCAGCCCGCAGGACCCGGCCAGGACTGGGAAGGTGGAGCGGATGTGCTGGGGGAAGGAAGCCCACCAGAGGCAGCAGGCCCTCCCGGCCACAGATGGGTCCTACTGACCGGGCTCCGGATACTCAGGTCTGGGCTTAATGGGCTCAAGGGTTCCCGTCGGGCACTGGAAAACTACATGGAGGTTAAAGGTCCTGTTCTGCTCCTTCTGGCTCTGGGCCTCAGACAAGGTGGAAACACCCGGTAGCCACCTTGTCAGGAAAACGGGGACAATCATTGCCTCCCCGAGAGGCTGATGCGTTGAGGGCATGGCAGGGCAGTGCTGGTACACTCTGAGACCCCCTGGCCTGCCCTCCGCCTCACCTTGTCCAGCACCGGCTTGTCCAGCTGCTGCTGCTCGATGCACAGGTGGCAGACCCGGGCCAGGAGCTCCCGGGGCTCGATGAAGAGGCGAGAGCTCAGCAGGAAGGTGAAGATGTAGGCTTTCTGGGGGACACACGAGAAAGAGGGCACAGGCTCAGGAGGGCACCAGGAGGGGCATGCTTCCCAGCTGGCCCTGTACCCTGGCCCAAGGTCACGCCCAACCCTGATGCCCCCCGTGCGTGGTGGAGGAGAGCCCACTCTCCTGCCCGCTGGGTGGATCACCCACCTCGGGGTAGTAGTCGGCTGTGGGCACCAGGTGCTGGATCAGTGTTTCCAGGGAGGCTGAGGATGGCGCTCCATCCAGGAGGGGCTGCCCAGCCTGTTCGCCATCTGTGGGCTCGGTGGGGGGTGGGCTGAGGCTGCCTGGGGTGACCATGTCGGAGGCACTCAGCGTCTGTGGCATGTCTGCCTGCAATGGCAAGGAGCAGTGAGGACCTGAGTGGGGGCACACCTGAGTTGGGTGCACCTGAGTGGGAGCTGCTGGTCCCGGGGCTCCTGGCTGGGCAGGCTCCCCCCACAGCCACTTTGTGCCAGCTTGAGTCCAGTGGTCACTTCCTGGGAGTATTGTCAGGGCCCCTTCCTCACAGCACAGCCTTCATTCTCCGTCTTCTCATGGCCTCTCAACTCTCCTGCAGGACCCATCTCTTGTCTACTCCTCTTGCCCCACTCAGGGGCAGGCCTCTTCTAGATTCTTCCCCCCGGCACCCCTCCACGAAGGTTGTTTTTCACAAGCCTGGATAATCAGCCTAATCCCCCTGCTTCTGGCCACAAAGATTGGTTCAGGGATTGGCCCCATCCAAATTAGGGGGGCTCAGCTGCAATCCCAGAACTTATGTGGCACTTGGAGGCTTTCTTTCCCCCTGGAGTCCTTGAGCTGGTGGAATGTATGCCCGACGCTACTGGGGCCATTGTGGCAGGAAAGTGGGCACATTCCTGAGCACAGTGTCGCTGTGCTGAGCACAGAAGCTGCTCCATGGACTTCTCCATCACATGTGCCTCTTTAAGTTGGGGTTCTCTCAGGTACAGTCAAAACTGCTGTCCTCCTTAACCTGGCATTCTGGGCTCTTTGTGATTTGGACTAGCTGACCTGTCCATCCTCACCGCCTATCACACCCCATTGCTCTTGGCACCAGCCACGTTCTCTCCTCCAAATGCCTTCTCCAACTCTGAACCACTGCACATGCCGTTCCCTCCTGCAGGAAGGCTCTCCCACCATCTTCACTCCCCTATCCCTCCAGGTATGGCTGAAATGCCTCGTCCTCGGTGAAGCCTTCCCTGCGTCCCACCAAGGCTGCACCTGACCTCTGGTGGGCATCAGCAGATTCTGCTTGTCAGCCTTGTTGGGTGCCTGGGTGCTGCTGTCAGTACCTGGCACAGGGAAAGGCCAGCTGCAGCCGTTACAGTGTCTTCTCTACCCAAACCTCCAGGCAGAGGCCAGAGCACATCCTCTGTGACCCTGCTCTGAGTGACGGGCCTGGCAGCAGCAGGTGTCCATACCCACCTGCAGGGAGCCCATGCTTACTCTCAGAAGCTCTTCCACTTACCCCTCTAGGCCAGTCTTCCTTGAAAGCCCAGGAGCCCTCACAGTGACGCATCCTGGCTAAACCTGTGACTGTTTAGACAGCCCCTACATTCTTGATCGTGGAGTCCTGCCAGCTCACTGCAGGGTCTTCTATGGACTCTGAGGCTCCCCTGCTCATGCCGTCCTTGCTGCCCCGATGGCAAACCCTGACCCTGGCCTATTTCTCCTTTGCAGCACTCTGAGTGACCCTGCCCTGGGAGTAGAGACAGAGGGACGTGGTGGGTCAGAGCTGACACTGGGGATCAGAGGGAGCCCCTCAGAGGGCTGTCCCGTGGCCATGTGGGTGTGGGAGGTGCTGGGACTGGGTTACAGCATGGGAAGGGCTCAGGCATTGGTGTGGACAGCAGCCCAGACAGTCCTGGCCATGGTGACAGACAGCTTATTTTCGCCTCCCTGACAATGCTGTAAGTGTTCAATTTTCAGCCAATGAAACCGTAAAATTTCACAAAATCACCTCCTGTCTGTCCCAGGGGGAGGCGGCTGAGCAGGTGGGCATGCAGGAAGCTGCACATGCTCAGTGGGAGGGGGACAGCTGCGGGATGGGCCGGCTGCAGGGTGCACGCTGCTCTGCCTCCTGCCCAGGGCCCGGCAGCTCAGCCTGATTCCACAAGATAGAAAACCTGTGAGCCTGGGAGGTCCGTTGTCTCCTGCTGGACACCTGGCACCTGTTCACCCTGCAACGCTGGGCCTGCCCCAGATCCCAGCCCCATTTTCTTGACAAGCCAGTGGCAAGGGTGGAGGTGGCTCTGGAAGCCTCTGCAGGATGGTGGGAGGTGCCATGCAGGGGCCTTTCTGAAGGAGGCCAGGAGGCTGCCACTTTAAAGAGACAGCCAGGAGGCTCCCAGGGGACCTGGGGCCTGGCCTGGACCCAGGTGCTGGGCACATGGGAGGTGGGAGCAGTGTTCAGATCCAGCTCTGCTCTGGAGCGACTAGCTCTCGCTGGAGCCAGGGGTGGTGGTGGTTGCTGAACTATTGTGACCCACAGGGATGCCCAGAGAGGGGCTGGGCTGCCAGTGGTCCTCCGACCTCCAATCACCCATCGTATCACCAGCTGGGTCCAGGTCTGGGTCTCAATGAATGGGCTTATCCTTGTGCCGCAGCCTTCAGTTTTTTCCTGTGGTTGCCAAGGGTCATCCATTCATGCGTGTATGCATGGGGTGACTCCTGGCTCCATTCCAGGCAATGGGGACAAAGCCCGACCTCAGGGAGCTGGTAAGGGAGGCAGAGCTGTGCAGAGACTGCCCCACGGGAGGCGTGCTGTGAGGGAAAGGGGGTGACCACTCTCTGTGCTCACTGCGGTGGATGTCCTGGCCCCTAAGAGAAGGTGAGGTCAGAGCTGCTGCTACCAGCGGGCTCCCCCACCACTCCCACCCCTCCCTGCAGGCGTGCTGGTGCAGACAGGCCAGGTGCCCACCTCTGGCCTCTGCATGAGGACAGCTGGGGACACAGAGGACACTGCTGCTCCTCCATCCGCCAGGGACAGCCAGCTCCTCCTCCCTCCAGCAGGAGCTCCAGCCTGCCTGGAATGGGCTGGGTGAGGGTGGCTGCACTGAGGGCTGACGGCAGGATGCAATCGGCAGAGAGACATGCCAGACAGACTGACCAGCATGTGCAGAGGCTCGGCGGAGCGGGGGGCAACGTGGTGTGATCATGGGAGTATATGCTTAGGTGTCAGGAGCCAGGCAGTGGCTCCTGGAAGTGTAGTGGGGAGTGACTGAGTTGGGGTCAGGGAGTGTGCAGAGTGATCAGAGCATCACGTTCCTTGTGTGCAAAAACAGCCATGTAACGAGGGTCCCTCGCTCCACCTGTAAGTGACGCTTTTATTAGTTTCTAGTCTTTCTGTAGCTTCTTTACGCAAAGACAAGGACATGTAAACACATAACCCCTTTTCTGTCTGTATTACACAAAAAGGTAGCATACTGTCCACACTCCCCCGCACTGGGCTTTCTTCACTAACAATGCGTTTTGAGGACCTTTCCATGGCAGGGCAGGGCTGCCTCATTCATTTTTATAAAAATTGCCTCACAATATTCCATTGTTTGGATGTCCACAAATAATTTTTAAAAAGAAATGAGGCAGCAGCCCAAGCGTCCATCAGTGACGAATGGATGGAGAAAACGCCTCTCCACACAGTGGGGCAGGAGTCAGCCTCAGAGAGGAAGGAGGTTCTGAGCCTGCGGCAACACGGATGACCTTGAGGACGTCATGCTAAGTGAAATGAGCCTGACACAGAAGCACAAACACTGAGTGACCCCACTTGTGGAGGCACCTACAGTCATCACGTTCACAGAGGCAGACGGTGGGACGGCGAGTGCCAGGGGCTGGGGGTGGGACAGGAGAACAGAGTGTCACTTGTGAAGAAGAAAAGATTTCTGGAGAGGGATGGAGGTGACAGTTCCACCACGATATGAAGGTACTTAATGTCACTGAACTGTCACTTAAAAAGGGTTAAAATGATACATTTTATGTTATGTGTATTTTATCACACTTTTTTTTTTTTTTTTTTAAACAGAGTCTCACCAGGCTGGAGTGTAGTGGCACGATCTTTGCTCACTGCAGTCTCCACCTCCCAGGTTCAAGGGATTCTCGTGCCTCAGCCTCCCAAGTAGCTGGGATTACAGGTGCCCACCACCACACTCAGCTAATTTTTGTATTTTTGGTAGAGACGGGGTTTCACCATGTTAGCCAGGATGGTCTCGATCTCCTGACCTCATATCACACTTTTTAAAAAAGGCAGTGATGATGGGACAATTGTTTATTGTTACAATATCTCTCAGAAGTCTTGAAATCACTGTTAAGTCTCCCATCTGTGTTTTGTGCACGTGGCCTGAATGATGCACGTGACAAAGGGGCTGGGAGTCTTGGGGGCTGCATAGATGGGCTGTCAGCATGAGGGGCTCAGCATGGATGGGGAACGTTCTGCTCGTACCCTGTAGAGAGACCTTTCCATTTCTCCCTCTGTCTGCCTCGTTGGGACGTGGGGCTCGGTGTGTGTGAACTAGATATATGCACGGTGTGGCTGCTCCCGTGGGGTTCCGCTTCCTACCCATGAAATGAATGAGACTTAATTAAATGCCCAGTGCTGGCAGGCATGCAAGGGCAGCCCCTTACACACCACTGCGGGGAGGGGTGGTATGCGTTGTCATGGTCCCTTTAATTGTACCAAGATTTGGCTCAATGTACCAAGAGCGTTATGTTCTATAGCGTCCTTTCATCCTAATCAAAGCCTTGGAAATGTATCCTGAGAAAATAAAGGGGACAAGCTGTGGAAAGAAAGGCCCTTGCTTCAGCATTAAATCCCAGCAGCGAACACTCTCGAGCAGCACAGATGGCAAACAAAGGGAGCATGGACGGGGAGGTGCACAGACGCACTGGCGGAGTGGCTGTGGCCGCTGCAGTGATGGTTCTGAACACACGGTCATAACACAGAAAACAGTGTGGCACAAGGAGGGGAAAACAGCAGGAGAGAAAGGTGCGGATGGTGGGAATGACATTCACGTGGATGAAGACTGCAGTGAGGCCCTGAGAAATGAGTCGCTGCTGTGCCCTCCTCGCACCCCATCGTTTTAGAGTCATTCGTCCAAGCTGAAGTCCACTCATCAGAGGATGGCTCTGGGAACACCTGAACTGATTCCAGGCCTGGAATGGTGAGGCTGGGGGCACGTGCCCCCGCTGTGGCAAGGGCACTGACAGGACACTGAGAGGAAATGCCTGGCTCTGGCACACAGCCCCAAGTGGCTGAGGCATGAGCTTCTGCCTCGGTTTCCCTCTCCATGGCTCCTGTCCCACTGCCTGGCCCCCAGCCCCTCAGGCATCTCTCCTTGTGTGTGTCTCCAGGCCCTGCACCTGGAGGTCCTGGGGCTCCTGCAGCAGTTCAAGAGACAGCAGGCGAGGATTGTGTGGGGTCAGGTCTGCAGAGAGACAGGCAGACAGGGGACAGGATCCCACGTGCCACCCTGCAGGGGGGCACTCTGATGCCTGCCAGCACCCAGCTGGGCATCCTTCCTTCTGGAGGCCTCACTGACAGGCTCAGGGCCCACCCTGCTCCAGGCCGCTGGCGCTGGCAAAGTTTCTGGGACAGCATGGCCCCAGCCCAACCCCTCTATGGGAGACGGGAAATGTGTGCAGGGACAGGGGCACCATGTGGTGCGTTTATAAGGAAGGCCAGCCCTGAAGATGGATGTGCATTCTCCTGCTATTCCAGTGGGTGCTGGAAAGAGGTAATGGTCACCTGCCCCCAGCCAGTTGAAAACGTGCCCAAGGGCCCTGCTGTTCCTCCTCAGCGTGGGGCTGGCAGAAGGTGGGCCGGCTGTACCAGTGAAAACCCACAAGCTCTGCTGTGCTCTGGGAGCTGGCGTGCTCAGACCTTCCTGGTGTAAAAGTCATCCAGGACATCCAGGACTCCTGACTTACGTTTCATATTGTGATTGTAAGGGTGGCAATTAATTCTATTTTTTTAAAAAGCCACTGATGGGGCCACACAGTGAGTTAAAGCACAGTTAGAAATGACATCTGTAGTGCCAAGGTGGTCAGTTTACAGACCCTGTTCCTGCTGGGGTCCCCACATCCCTCAGCATGGGTGGCTGGCATTAAACATCTGCAAAATGGAAATCCATCGAACTTGCAGAAGAAAAGCAGGTGGCTGGTCAGAGCGCGTCCTGGGGGCTGGAGGGATGTTCTCCCTGGGCCAGGTGTGGCAGAAGGGACAGAGGTAAAGAAGGCTCCCGAAGGCCCCTGTGAGGACCACGCGCGTGTCTCAGGAAGACACCTGTGAGCTCTGAGAAGAGGGAGCAGTCCCCCTCTTCAGGTTATGGAGACTGGTGCACGAAGTACCTCGCACAGTGCCTGCTGTGGAGAAAGGACCCCCAAGGCCAGCACTCGCCACGGGGAGCTCGCC
This sequence comes from Homo sapiens, assembly GCF_000001405.40. Classification (NCBI taxonomy): domain Eukaryota; kingdom Metazoa; phylum Chordata; class Mammalia; order Primates; family Hominidae; genus Homo; species Homo sapiens. The sequence goes on from NC_000005.10 coordinate 180,144,129, forward strand.
ACCTGCTAGGGCCAGACCACAACACAGGCAGCAACTGCTGTTAACCAAGGCTCTGTGTGTGCCAAAAAGACTTGCCAACTGCACCGCCATGGTTCCCCATGGCTTCTGTGCTGGCTGCAGCTGGGGCGACCCTCTACCTGCCCATCCAGCCCTGCAGCTGAAACCACGTCCCAACAGCTGCTGGAAATGGTCCCACTGCTTTAGCCTCAAAGGCTGTGGTGGGTCCACGGCCCCAAATCAGAGCCCTTTCTGCCCTTGCTTGAATATGTGCAGAATTTTACACATTTACACATTCTCAAGAGTTTGAGACCAGCCTGGGCAACACAGTGAGACCCTCATCTCTAGAAAAAGTTTTTAAAAATTAGGTTGACGTAATGTCACACACCTGTAGTCCGAGCTACTTGGGAGGCTGAGATGGGAGGATTGCTTGAGCCCAGGAATTCAAGGCTGCAGTGAGCTGTGACTGCACCACTGCACTCCAGCCTGGGTGACAGAGCAAGACCCTGCCTCTACCAAAAAAATAAAAATTAAAAAAATATACTTAACATAAATTTACCGTGTAAAGTTCAGTGGCATTAAGTACATTCACACTGTTGCACAAGCATCACCACCGTCCGTCCACAGAAGTTTTTCATCATCAATTGAAACCCTGTACCCAGTAAACACTAACTCCCCAATTTCTCCTCCTCTCCTTCCCCAGCCCCTGGTAACCACAGTTCTACATTCTATGTATTTTTACCATTCTGGGTACCTTATATAAGTGGAATCATAAAACATTTGTCCTTCAGTGACTGGCGTATTTCATTCATCTTTGTCAAGGTGCACCACTGTTGTAACATGCGTCAGAATTTCCTTCCTTTTTAAGGCTGAATACTGTTCCACTGCATGCACATACCATATTTTGTTCATCTATTCATCTGTCAGTGGGCAGTGGGGGTTGTTTCCCCCTTTACCATACTGTTTTCCACAGCAGCTGCACCATTTTATTTATTTTTATTTTAATTTTTATTTTGAGACGGTCTCACTCTGTCACCCAGGCTGGAGTGCCGTGGTGCAATCTCAGCTCACTGCAACCTCTGCCTCCCGGGTTCAAGCGATTCTCCTGCCTCAGCCTCTCAAGAAGCTGGGATTACAGGCATGTGCCACCACCGTGTCCGGCTAATTTTTGTTTTAGTAGAGATGGGGTTTCACCATGTTGGCCAGGCTGGTCTTAAACTCCTGACCTTAGGTGATCTGCCCGCCTCAGCCTCCCAAAGTGCTGGGATTACAGGCGTGAGCCACCGTGCCCGGCCCGCTGCACCATTTAAAATTACCAACAGCAATGTAAAGGGTTCCAATTTCTCCACATCCTTGACAATGCTTGTTGTTTTCTGCTTTTTTGATAATGGCCATCCTAATGGGTGGGAAGTGGTATCTCATTGTGGTTTGGATTTGCATTTCCCTAAATATCAGTGATCTTGAGCATCTTTTCATTTGCCATTTGTATATATTCTTTAGAAAAATGCCTGTTCAAGACTTTTCCCCACTTTTTTCAAGCAAAGAAAATTTAATTCATAGAATTGGTTCCGTGACAGGATGTAATTACCCCACCCCTGAGATTTAAGGAACAAAAGAGAAGCCGTGGCGTTTCAAGACCCAGATCAGAGGAGAAGCCCCACAGAACTGGAGCTCACGCTTCGAGCATGGCTGCTGCTGGGACCTCTGCAGGGGCATGAGGCAGCTAGCCCCAAGAGTCCTCTTTTACCCATTTTTGAATTGAGTTGTTTGGGATTTGTTTGTTTTTGAGTTTTAGGAGTTTGTTAGATAGTCTGGATATCAATCCCTTATTAGCTATGTGATTTGTAAATATCTTCTCCTATTCGGTAGGTTATCTTTTTACTTTGTTGATAGTGTCCTTTGAGGCACAAATGTTTTCCATTTTGATGAAGTCCAATTCGTCTATTTTTGTCTTTTGTTGCCTGTGTCTTTGGTATCATATCCAAAAAGTCACTGCCCAATCCAATATCATGAAGCTTTCCCCCAATGTTTTTTTGAGATGGAGTCTGGCTCTGTCACCCAGGCTGGAGTGCAGTGGCACAATCTTGACTCACTGCAACCTCTGCCTCCCAGGTTCAAGTGATTCTCCTGTCTCAGCCTCATGAATAGCTGGGACTACAGGTGCATGCCACCACACCCGGCTCATTTTGTATTTTGTATTTTGGTACTTTTAACACGGTTTCACCATGTTGCGCAGGCTGGTTTCCAACTCCTGAGCTCAAGTGATCCGTTCAAAGTGTTGGGATTACAGGCATGAGCCACTGTGCTTGGCCAGCTATGTGTTTTTCATATGTGACTTTTATTATGTTGAGGTAGTTTCCTTCTATTCCAGTTTTTGGAGTACTTTTTTTTTTTGTCATGAAAGGGCATTGAATTTTGTTTAATGCTTTTTTCTTCATCAATTGAAATGATCATGTGTTTTTTCCTTCATCATGTTAATCTATTGTATTACATTGATTGATTTTCGTATGTTGAACCATCTTTGCATTCCAGGAATAAACCTCCCTTGGTTGTGGTGTATAATTTTCTTTAATATGCTGCTGAACTTGGTTTGCTAGTATTTTGTTGAGGATGTTTGCATCATAAGGGATATTGGTCTGTAGTTTACTTCTTGTAGTGCTTCTGTCTGGCTTTGGTATCAAGGTGATGCTGACCTCATAAAATGAGTTAGGAAGTGTTTCTGCCTCTTTAATTTTTAGGAAAAGTTTGAGAAGCATTGGTGATGGTTCTTTTTTAAATGTTTGGTAGAATTCACCAGTGAAACCACCAGGTCCAGGACTTTTTTGTTGTTGGAAGGCTTTTAATTACTAATTAAACCTCATTATTAGTTATAGGTCTATTTACGGTTTCTAATTTTTTTTTCATGATTTCAGTTTCTAGGAATTTCATCTAGAAATTCCAATTTGTTCAAATTTCCAATTTGTTGGCATATAATTTTTTATAGTACTCTTATAATCCCTTTAATTTATGTGAATTGGTAATAGTATCCCTACTCTCATTTCTGATTTTAATAACTTCAGTCATCTCTTTTTTTTCAGTCAGTCTAGCTAAAGGTTTGTCAATTTTGTTAATCTTTTTGAAGAACCAACTTTAGGCTTTTTAAATTTTTTTCTATTGTTTTTCTATTCTCTTTTATTTATCTCTTCTCTAATCTTTATAATTTCCCTCCTTCTGCTAGCTTTGGGTTTAGTTTGTTCCTCTTTTTCTAGCTCTTTACATTGTACAATTAGGTTGTTATTTTGAGATCTTTCTTCTTTTTTAATGTGTTTACAGCTATAAATTTTCCATTAAGGACAGTTTTTGCTGTATCCCATGTTTTAGTATGTTGTGTTTTCATTTTCATTCATCTCTAAGTATTTTCGAATTTCCCTTGGGACTTGTTCTTCAATGCATAGGTTGTTTAAGAATGTGTTGTTTACTTTCCACAAATTTGTGAATTTTCCAGTTTTCCTTCTATTATTGATTTCTAATTTCATCCTGTCATAGTTGGAGAGGATACTTCATATGATATCTCTCTTTTAAAATTTATTGAGGCTTAATCTGTGTCCTAACATATGGTTTATCCTGGAGAATATCCCACGTGCACTTTAGAAGACTGTGTATGTTGTTGTTGAGTAGAGTTCTGTATATGTCTGTTAGACCTAGTTGGCTTATTGTGTTGTGTAAGTCTTTTATTTCCTTACTTATCTTCTGTCTGGGCATTCTATCCATTATTGAGAGTGAGGTAGCAGCTGCTGAAATAGCTTAGTTGGGAAAGCATTAGACTGGAGAGTGAGGTATTGCAGTCTCTGACTATTACTATAGAGCTGTCCATTTCTCCTTTCAATTCTGCCCATTTTTGCTTCATATATTTTAATGACCTGTTTTGGGGTCATAAATGTTTATAATTGTTAAGTCTTCTTGCTATATTAAATTTTCATTGATATGTGATACCCTTCTTTGTCTCTGGTAATCCTTTAAAATTTAAAGTATTTTTTCTGTTATTAGTATGGCTGCTCCCACTCTCTTTTTGTTACTGTTTACATGGAGTATCTTTTTCAGTCCCTTCATGTTTAACCTATTTATGACTTTGGATCTAAAATGAATCTCTTGTGGACAATATATAGTTGGATCTTTTTTAAAAAATCCATTCTGCCAATCTTTGTCTTTTGACTAGAGAGTGTAATCTATTTCCTTTTTAAATAATAACTGTTAAGACAGGATTTACTCCTGCCATTTTGCTGTTTTTTTTTTTCTATTGCCTTGTATCTTTTTGTTCCTTATTTCCTGCAGTACTGTGTTCTTTTTTTGTGGTGAAACATTAATTCCTTTCTTGTTTCCTTTTGTGTATATCCTATAGCTACTTTCTTTGTGGCAACCATGGGAATTACATTTAACATCCTAAAGTTACAACACTCTAATTTGAATTTAGACCAGTTTAACTTCAGTAGCATTCAAAAACTCTGCTCCTATACAGTTCTGTCCCCACCCTGTTAGTTACTGATGTCACAAAATTACATTTTTATTATGTTCAAAAGCACAGACTTAATACTTATTTTCTTAATGTATTAGTCTCTTAAATCATGTAAAAAAAAGGTAGAGTTACAAATCAGTTATCATAATACCAGCTTTTATAATTGCCCATGGATAAATCTTTACCAGATATTTTTGTTAACACAGCTTTGAATTACTCTTTAGTGTCTTTCATTTCAACCTGAAGCACTTCATTTAGTATTTCTCCTAGGTAGGCCTTGCGGTAGTGACTTTCTTCGATTCTTGTTTATCTAGGAATGTCTTAACTTTGTACTCATTTTTGAAGGACAGTTTTGCCATACATAGGATTCTTGGTTGACAGGTTTTTTTACTTTCAGCATTTTGAATACATCAACCGATTGCCTTCTGGCCTCTAAGGTTTCTTTTCTACTTTTTCTTTTCTTTTTTTTTCTTTTTTTTTTTTTTTTTTGAGACAGAGTCTTGCTCTGTCACCAGGCTGGAGTGCAATGGCACAATCTCGGCTCACTGCAAACTCTGCCTCCTGGGTTCAAGTGATTTTCCTGCCTCAGCCTCCCAAGTAGTTGGGACTACAGGTACACACTACCACGCCCAGCTAATTTTTGTATTTTTAGTAGAGACGGAGTTTCACCATGTTGGCCAGGATGGTCTCAATATCCTGACCTCATGATCTGCCCACCTCAGCCTCCCAAAGTGCTGGGATTACAGGTTATAGGTGTGAGCCACTGTGCCCGCCAAGGCCTCTAAGGTTTCCGTGGGAAATTTCTTGATAATCTTACTGAGGATCAGTTTTTGTTTTGTTTTGTTTTGTTTTTTGAGACAGAGTCTAGCTCTGTCACCAGGCTGAAGTGTGGTGGCACAATCTTGGCTCACTGCAATGCACTCCAACTCCCTGGTTCAAGCGATTCTCCTGCCTCGGCCTCCCAAGTAGCTGGGACTACAGGCATGCACCACCACGCCCAGCTAATTTTTGTATTTTTAGTAGAGATGGGGTTTCACCATGTTGGCCAGGATGGTCTCCATCTCTTGACCTCTCGATCCACCCGCCTCGGCCTCCCAAAGTGCTGGGATTACAGGCGTGAGCCACTGCGCCCAGCCGAGGACCCCTTTTATGTGATGACTCACTTCTTTCTTGCTGCTCTCAATATTCTCTATTTGTTGTTGTATTTTCCAGTTTGATTATAATGTGTCTCACTGTGGGTCTCTTTGAGTTTATCCTACTTGGTTCACTGGGTTTCCTGGATGTTTATATTCATGTTTTTCATCAAATTTGGGAAGTTTTCAGCCATTAATTATTCAGATAATCTCTCTATACCTTTCTCTCCCTTCTTTTTCTGGGACTCTCACAAAGTGTATGTTGGTCTGCTTTATGGTATTGCTTAGGTCCTGTAGGTTCTGTTCACTTTTTCAATCTTTTTTATTTTCCTGTTCCTCAGACTCAATAATTTCAATTGCCCTATCTTCAAGTTTGCTGATTCTTTCTTTGACCTCCTCAGATCTGCTTTTGAATACCTCTAGTGAATTTTTCATTTCAGTTATTGTACTTTATAGCTCCAAAATTTATTTTTGGTTCCTTTGTATGTTTTTCTGTCTCTTTATTGATAGTTCCATTTTGTTCATACATCTTTTTCTTGACTGCTACTTCACGTCTTTGCACATCTTTAGGACAGTTGTTTCAAAGCCTTTGTCTAATAAGTCTGTCATGTAGTCTTTCTCAGGGACAGTTTTTGTTGATTTACTTATTTTTCCTTCAAATGATCCATGTTTTCCTGTTTCTTTATATGCCTTGTGGTATTTATTTTGTAGAAAACTGGACATTTGACTCTTGCAATGTGGCAACTCTTGAAATCAGATTCTCCTCCTTCCCCAGGGATTAAAAAAAAAAAAATGTTGGCTGGGTGCTGTGGCTCACACCTGTAATCCTAGCACTTTGGGAGGCTGAGGTAGGCGGATCACCTGAGGTCAGGAGTTCGAGACCAGCCTCAACATGGAGAAACCCTGTCTCTGGGATGCCCTCTCTCACCACTCCTATTCAACATAGTGTTAGAAGTTCTGGCCAGGGCAATCAGGCAGAAGAAGGAAATAAAGGGTATTCAATTAGGAAAAAAGGAAGTCAAATTGTCCGTGTTTGCAGATGACATGATTGTATATCTAGAAAACCCCATCGTCTCAGCCCAAAATCTCCTTAAGCTGATAGGCAACTTCAGCAAAGTCTCAGGATACAAAATCAATGTGCAAAAATCACAAGCATTCTTATACACCAATAACAGACAAACAGAGAGCCAAATCATGAGTGAACTCCCATTCACAATTGCTTCAAAGAGAATAAAATACCTAGGAATCCAACTTGCAAGGGATGTGAAGGACCTCTTCAAGGAGAACTACAAACCACTGCTCAATGAAATAAAAGAGGATACAAACAAATGGAAGAACATTCCATGCTCATGGGTAAGAAGAATCAATATTGTGAAAATGGCCATACTGCCCAAGGTAATTTATAGATTCAATGCCATCCCCATCAAGCTACCAATGACTTTCTTCACAGAATTGGAAAAAACCACTCTAAAGTTCATATGGAACCAAAAAAGACCCCCGCATTGCCAAGTCAATGCTAAGCCAAAAGAACAAAACTGGAGGCATCATGCTACCTGACTTCAAACTATACTACAAGGCTACAGTAACCAAAACAGCATGGTACTGGTACCAAAACAGAGATATAGACCAATGGAACAGAACAGAGCCCTCAGAAATAATGCTGCATATCTACAACTATCTGATCTTTGACAAAGCAGACAAAAACAAGAAATGGGGAAAGGATTCCCTATTTAATAAATGGTGCTGGGAAAACTGGCTAGCCATATGTAGAAAGATGAAACTGGATCCCTTCCTTACACCTTATACAAAAATTAATTCAAGATGGATTAAAGACTTAAATGTTAGACCTAAAACCATAAAAACCCTAGAAGAAAACCTAGGCAATACCATTCAGGACATAGGCATAGGCAAGGACTTCATGTCTAAAACACCAAAAGCAATGGCAACAAAAGCCAAAATTGACAAATGGGATCTAATTAAACTAAAGAGCTTCTGCACAGCAAAAGAAACTACCATCAGAGTGAACAGGCAACCTACAGAATGGGAGAAAACTTTTGCAATCTACTCATCGGACAAAGGGCTAATATCCAGAATCTACAATGAACTCAAACAAATTTACAAGAAAAAAACAAACAACCCCATCAAAAAGTGGGCGAAGGATATGAACAGACACTTCTCAAAAGAAGATATTTATGCAGCCAAAAGACACATGAAAAAATGCTCATCATCACTGGCTATCAGAGAAATGCAAATCAAAACCACAATGAGATACCATCTCACACCAGTTAGAATGGCGATCATTAAAAAGTCAGGAAACAACAGGTGCTGGAGAGGATGTGGAGAAATAGGAACACTTTTACACTGTTGGTGGGACTGTAAACTAGTTCAACCATTGTGGAAGTCAGTGTGGCGATCCCTCAGGGATCTAGAACTAGAAATACCATTTGACCCAGCCATCCCATTACTGGGTATATACCCAAAGGGTTATAAATCATGCTGCTATTAAGATACACATATGTTTATTGCGGCACTATTCACAATAGCAAAGACTTGGAACCAACCCAAATGTCCAACAATGATAGACTGGATTAAGAAAATGTGGCACATATACACCATGGAATACTATGCAGCCATAACAAATGAAGAGTTCATGTCTTTTGAAGGGACATGGATGAAGCTGGCAACCATCATTCTCAGCAAACTATCGCAAGGACAAAAAGCCAAACACTGCATGTTCTCACTCATAGGTGGGAATTGAACAATGAGAACACATGGACACAGGAAGGGGAACATCACACACCGGGGCCTGTTGTGGGGTGGGGGGAGGGGGGAGGGATAGCATTAGGAGATATACCTAACGTTAAATGACGAGTTAATGGGTGCAGCACACCAACATGGCACATGTATACATATGTAACAAACCTGCACGTTATGCACATGTACCCTAGAACTTAAAGTATAATTAAAAAAAAAAAAAGAAAGAAAACCTGTCTCTACTAAAAATACAAAAAATTAGCTGGGCGTGGTGGCAGCGCCTGTAATCCCAGCTACTCAGGAGGCCGAGGCAGGAGAACTGCTTGAACCCGAGAGGCGGAAGTTGCAGTGGGCCGAGATTGCGCCACTGCACTCCAGCCTGGGCAACAAGAGCAAAACCCCATCTCAAAAAAAAAAAAAAAAAAAAAAAGTTATAGGTTGCCTCTGTACTGGGATCAGCATAAGGTATAAATGGTAAGTCTTCTTGGGTCTTTTTTGAGGCTGTACCTTTCCCAGGGAAATTGCAGTACCTTTATAAACGTCCCCATATGTTACTGCTTTTGAATGTTCTAGTCCTTAAATGCCTGGCTCCCAAATGGGGAAAATGGGAACAATTAAAGGGGAGGTAGTGGGGAATTTAAAGTTTCTGGCTCTTTAAATCCCATGGAAGCCTTTTCACCAAGTGGAGATTATACAATGGGGGCCCACCTCTGTGTCTGCACATCCGTGCTCAGAGGCAGCAGAACACAGATCCCTGATATTGATATTTGGAGTGCAAGGTCTTTATGGCCCACCCTGGCTCCCACAGGCTGTGTGTAAGCTGTTCCACAAACACATGCACAGCCTGCCATGGGATTTGGGGGTGGGGGATAGCTAGCTGCTACCATGTTAAGAGCTGGAATTGACCAGAATTCACCATGATTTACTATCCAAGCCCTCCTCTGGAGCTGCAAGCTTTCAAATAGACTCCAGAATTTCAAAATAGTCATATCAGACAGATTCTGCCAGTTCATTTGTCATCTACATGGAGAGATGGAATCCTGATGCCTGCTACTCCACCGTCTTCCCTGACTTCTTCTCATTACTCCACCGTCTTCCCTGACTTCTCTTCATTACATCTTTAACTGGCTATTGCTACTGTGTTTTGTATATGGCTTTGTATAGCATCTTATTCGTTCTAATAGCCTTGGAGTTTGCAGAAGTCAATCATGTCTACAATTAATGGTAATTTCATCTTTTCCCTTCTGGTGGTTAAATTTTCTCCCTTTTCTTGTCATAATGCATTGGACAGAACTTGCTAGCAGAAACAATACTGGTAAGAATAAGTATCTTATATTGCTCTATCTCTCCATCAGGGTGAGGTGTGCTCTGGAAACAGAGCTGAAAGCCCCTCTGGGGTGATGTTCCCAGTCCCCGTACTCCAAACCCAAATGTTGGTTTGTTGGGAGGGGCTGGGGCCATGTGGCCCCTGGTCAGCATGTGTCCCAGAAGCCCCAGGATGTTTATGTCTTATTCCTTCTCCTGCCATGAGAGAGAACTGACCAGCCCTGGGCCTTCTCAGAGTCCACGATTCTGTTCAGTTTTACTTCTCTCTGTGAAGGGCGCCCAGAAGCTCCGAGAAGAGGCCGGAATTCTAAGTTTTCTTACAGGGCCCAGGACAGGTCTACCCCCTGGGCAGGTGTCTGGAGCCTCAGCTGGCCCCGGGCACTGTTGCAAGGGTCAAATGGGCCTCTTTGCTTGGGACTACCTCTGCTGGCTTCTTCAGGAACAGGGACAGTCCCTGTCCCCTTAAGGGATAGGGAGCTGAACTCAGCACTGTTTCCAAGGCTCCTGGGTGAGGCACCTGCTCCACCTTACCCGGACAGGTTCTGAACTCCAGGGACTTAAGTTAAAGAAGAAATACACTCTATCATTCTTCAGTGTCTTTTGTTCTCATATGTCAGTGTCACTTAATCCTTAAAATGACCATAGGGAAATGACTACCCACTTTACAGTTGAATAAACCCGGACCCTCAAGGGTAAAGTGGGGTGGACAAGTTACCAGCTGCTGACTGGTGGACTGGGCTGGACTCTGGACTCTTTTTTTTTTTTTTTGAGATGGAGTCTCGCTCTGTCGCCCAGCCTGGAGTGCAGTGGTGCAAACTCAGCTCACTGCAAGCTCTGCCTCCCAGGTTCACGCCATTCTCCTGCCTCAGCCTCCCGAGTAGCTGGGACTACAGGCACCCACCATCACGCCTGCCCATTTTTTTTGTATTTTTAGTAGAGACAGGGTTTCACTGTGTTAGCCAGGATGGTCTCGATCTCCCGACCTCGTGATCCACCCGCCTCAGCCTCCCAAAGGGCTGGGATTACAGGCATGAGCCACCACGCCCGGCCCACCCTGGACTCTTGACTCCAGGCCCAGCTCCTGGCCCTGGACCTTTGAGGGGGAATTGGTACAGCCTGAGTGGAAGACAGACTTGGCCTGAAGGTTCAGCAGGAAAGCCAGGTGCTGGCACTGGGAGCTGGGGGACAACCTGAGTACTTGAAGCCACAGTGTGACTCTTGGAAGCCTCCAGGAGGCAGGGAGCTTCTGGGCAGCCCTGATGGACTGAGCTGAAGGAGAGGCCTCAGACCACAGCCCAGCCCTTCCCCACCTTGCACAGAAACCTCAAGGGAGGAAAGCCCCCAACCCTGAGTATGGGTCTGGACTATGCTAGCTCATGTCTGGCTGCCCCGAGCAGTGGTAGCATCACGTCTAGGCTCTGAAAGCCTCTGTGGTCCTCCTTTTCTCTCTCCTTGGAAGAGCCTGGAGCCTGGACACACATTTCATTTCCATTTGGGTCCCATGAAGGACTCCTGCCTGCTCCCTGATGTCTGAAGGGACGCTGTGGGGGAACTGCAGCCTCCCTAGGCCGAGCCCAGATCTGCTTGCGGAGGCTGAGAATGCACCTGGCCTTGCCTTCAGGAGGGCAACGCGCTTGGCTGTGAGGGGAGGATTGGCCTGAGTTATTTTTGGGCTCCATATGGCCTTCAACTCCTGCTGACAGATCCCGCTGTCTCCCTCAGGAAGCTCTTGTTTCTGATTGCTCAGGGCCCGGCTTGCAGGCAATCTGTTGGATGCGAGGCGACAGCACCAAGACCCACGGCAGATTGGCCACTAAATATAGAGCTCTCCCAAGAGGGCAAGTCAGCCTCTCTCCCGCTCCGTCTTCCATCCTGTCCCTTACTCTTGGCCCACGTTCTCAATTACGTCCTGAGAACATACTTCTACAAGGAGAGGCACAGCCCAGTCACTCCCCAAGCCACAGTGAAGGGGTTTGTTTCACCTCCCAACCCGCATGCTGCCTTCCCTTCAGGAACTTCTCCCCGTTGGCTGAAGCCTGAGTCAGGGTGGGAACCGGAGTCCTGGCCAAGAGGGCACTGTCCCCCCCTCACTGCTGAGCAAGCAAGTGACCAGGTTATCCAATTAGAGCAAAGCCTGGGCTTTGCTTCGAGACAATTACTATTATTATTATTACAGCATGAACATCTGTTCCCAGGACCCAGGCTAATAAAAAGAGCGTTACCAGTACCTTAAAATCCCTAATGCATCTTCCTCAACCGGTCCCACTCCTCATCCCCCTAACCTCTAGACAAGACCATGCTGACTTTTGTGCTAATTGTTCCCTTACTTTTCTTTGTAGTTCCACCTGTGTATTTATCCCCAAATACCCTGCCTAGTTTGACAGCAGAGGGCAGGTGCATGCTGATGGTGCAAGGAGAGGACGGCACTGCCCCTGCTGGACGGAGGCTCCAGGAGGTGAGCGGATCAGTCTCCAGGCTGTGGTCTGATTCCCGCTTCTCTGGGAGCTGACAAGGCCCCTCCGGGGGAAGTCGTGAGCAGGGTTGAAAGGGAGTCTTCGGAAACACTGGGCTCAGCACAGTTGGTGCCTGGCAGGGCCGAGGTGGGAACCAAGCGCTGGACCTCTGTGATAAAGAACTGTTATCGAAAATATATAAAGGGCCAGGCATGGTGGCTCACACCTGTAATCCTAGCACTTTGGGAAGCTGAGCATGCAGAGTGCTTGAGTCCAGCAGTTCAAGACCAGCCTGGGCAACATGGTGAGATCCTGTCTCTACTAAAAATTACTAAAAAATTAGCTGGGCATGGTGGCGTGCATCTGCAGTCCCAGCTACTTGGGAGGCTGAGGTGGGAGGATCACCTGAACCCAGGAAGTTGAGGCTGCAGTAAGCCGAGATCGTACCACTGCACTCCAGCCTGGGCAACCAGAGTGAGACCCTGTCTCAAAAAAAAGTAAATAAAATAAAACATACAAAGAAATCTTACAACTTAATAATAAGAAAACAAACAACCTGATTAATAAAGGAGACAAAGACCTTAACAGGCACCTGACCAAAGAAGATATAAGACGGAAAATAAGCATTTACAAAGGTGCTTCACATCATATGTCATCAGGGAAATGCAAATTAGAACAAGATACCACTACACACCTACTAGAGTGGTCAAAATCCAGATCACTGTCACCACCAAATGCTGGTAAGGAAGGGGAGCAGCAGGAATTCTCATCATTGCTGGTGAGAGGGCAATACAGTACAGGCGCTTTGCAATGCAGCTTGGCAGTTTCTTACAAAACTAAACATACTCTTACCATATAATCTAGCAATCTCATTTCTTGGTATTTACCCAAAAGAGTTGAAAATTTATGTCCACATAAAAACCTACACACAGGTGTTTCTAGCAGTATTATCATAATTGCCCAAACTTGGAAGCAACCAAGATGTCCTTCTGCAGGTGAGTGGGTAAATAAACTGTGGTACATCCATCCAAGTGCTAAAAAGAAATGAAGTATCAGGGCTGGGTGCAGTGGCTCACGCCTGTAATCCCAGCACTTTGGGAGGCCGAGGTGGGCGGATCACCTGAGGTCGGGAGTTCGAGACCAGCTTGACCAACATGGAGAAACCCTGTCTCTACTAAAAAAAAAAATACATAATTAGCCGGGCATGGTGGCGCATGCTTGTAATCCCAGCTACTTGGGAGGCTGAGGCAGGAGAATTGCTTGAACCCAGGAGGCGGAGGTTGCAGTGAGCCGAAATTGCGCCATTGCACTCCAGTCTCAGCAACAAGAGCAAAACTCCGTCTCAAAAAAAAAAAAACAACAAAAATGAAGTATCAAGCCATGAAAAGACGTGGAGAAAATGTAAATGCATATTACTAAGCAAAAGAAGCCAATCTGAAAAGACTGCATGATTCCAACTAGATCACATTCTGGAACATGAACATTTATGGAGGCAGTAGAAAGACCAATGGTTTCCAGGTTTAGTGGGGAGGGAGGAATAGGTGAAACACAGAGGATTTCTAGGGCAGTGAAACTATTCTGCCTGATACTATAATGGTGGATATGTGACATTATTGTCAAAACCCATAGAATGTACAACACCAAGCATGACCCCCTAAGGTGAACTATGCACTCTGGGTAATAATGATGTAGCAATGTAGGTGTATCAGCTGTAACAAACATACCATTCTGGTGGGTGACGTCGATAATGGGGGAGGCTCTGCATGTGTGGAGGCAGGGGGATGTGGGAAATCTCTACTTTCTGCTCAGTTTCGCTGCGAACCTAAAACTGCTCTAAAAAATAAAGCCCATTTTTTTAAAAGATGGCTTGAAGGGAGTGGGGGTCTTGGTGATGATCATCTACTTCCTAGCTCACGCTGCTGCAGTGGGGCTCAGTTGCCCTCTGGATGTGGTACGAAGCTGTTACACTGAGATCACCTTTCACCATCCTCCAAGAGATTCCTTCTCCTTTATGTGTTGGGCTCCCGTCTCCTGTATTTAAAGTCTTCTTTCTTGGGTTGGTCTTTCATTTTAATGGAGCACATACTCTAGTAGCTTTTTGAGAAGAGGTGCTTAGGAAGTAAATGTTTAAGATCTCACATGCCTGTAAACGTTCTCATTTTACTCACACTTGCTAGTGTAGTTTATAGTTCAGCAAGGCATAGAATTCTAGATCTGTGCTCGTTTGTCTTCACAATTTTGAAGGCATTGTTTTCTGGCTTCTCTCTTAACTTTGTAGAATTTTCTTTGTTCCCGTAGGGTGACCTGTCATGCTGGTTTGCCTGGGACTGTCCTAGTTTTAGTACTGAAAATCCCGTATCCCAAGAAAAACCCCTCAGTCCCAGGTAAACAAAGCCAGTTGGTCACCCTAGTCCCAAGTCTTTTGAAATTTCACAAGGACGCACCTTGACACGGGCCTTTCTATGTCCCTCGTGTGGAGCACTTTCCAGTCTCACGGGCTGGAATCTCGTGCCCTTCAGTGCTGGAAAACTTTCTTAAATCATTTCACAGATGGTTTCCTCTCCTTCATTTTCTCTGTCTAGAATTCTTAGCACTCATTTTTGGACCCCCTGGACTTGTCCTCCAATTTAAAAAATATTTTCTCTCCTACTTTCCATTACAAAATCTTCGTGCTCTACTTTCTGAAAGCATTTCAATTTTATCTTCTAAATCTTTTATTTCTGCTGATGTATTATTAATTTCTATGAGGTCTTTTTTTTTGTCCTTTGAATGCTACTTTTTGTTCTTTTTTTCAGAGATGTAATATCTTCTCTTACCTCTCTGAGAACATTAGTAACAAGTTTTTTTTTAATTTTTTAATTAATTTTTTTTTTTGAGGCAGAATCTCACTCTGTTGCCCAGGCTGGAGTGCAACGGCGCGATCTCGGCTCACTGCAACCTTTGCCTCCCAGGTTCAAGCGATTCTCCTGCCTCAGCCTCCCGAGTAGCTGGGAGTACAGGCGTGCACCACCACGCCCGGCTAATTTTTTGTATTTGAGTGGAGATGGGATTTCACCATGTTGCCCAGGGTGGTCTCAAACTCCTGAGCTCAAGCAATCTACCTGTTTCAGCCTCCCAAAGCGCTGGGATTACAGGCATGAGCCACCGTGCCCGGCCTTAACAAGTTTTATTTAAAGTTTTCTTCTTCCTGCGCTGCCTTTTTGTTTCCTCCAATTTGCCTTTTTTCCTTATTTGCCCTGCTCTCCGTCTGCCATGCTGGAAGCATCCACTCAGATGTCTGGGACTCCTTGGCCACCACATAGAGACTGAGACTGACTGAATGCTTCAAGAGAGATGATGGGGCTGCGGACAAGCTCGCAGTGGGGAGATCTAGGTAGGCCATTTGGGGGAACTCTGATCCTGAAGTTGGGAGCACCCCCTTAACTGATCCACAGGCTGGGGATTTGGCTTTCTGAGGTCTGCTCTATCATTGGTTACTTACCCACTTGCTTTCATTTTGTTTGTTTATTTTGACAAAAGTCCCACGGGTGTACTTCATTGAGGTTTCAGGAGGGGCCAAGTGTTCAGCCAGCCCTCCTGATGCTCTCTTGCCAGCGGGACTGGAGGCCGAGCAGATGAATGTGAGCTGCCGTGGCTGCCCAGCCAACACGTGGGGGCAGGAAGCCAAGCTTCGAGCACATTGTTTGGATCCTGAATCTAGCTGCACTCGAAGTTAGCCCTGCTTGTAGAATCTTGATACCAAAAATTTGCCCCAGGGGATACTCCTGCCTCCAGGGCTCATGGCTGCTCACCTATGGCCTTGTTTATCCCACGGAAGGTGCACCAGTGGAAAGGTCTCTCTGGATGCCACTTCTTTGCTAACTTGGAGGTGTTTCCTGCAAATCTCGTCTGTTCCTGGTGACTCAGTAGAGCGCCCCTCCCAAGCCCCTCCTACAAGAAGCCATTTGGCTCTTTCTGGACCTGAGGAGTAGCCAGGGGTCCCTGAGGCCTCCAGGGTCCGAGTCAAGGCACCCACTCACCTTCCATGTGCAGTTGGCCTCTGGGGCCTCCAGACTGGACACCCTCTGCTCCAGGTGCCTGGGCATGTCGCCCTGTGAGCCTAGAGACCTTTCTCCAGGTTGTGCACAAGAGGTGGGCTCCACGCTGCAGAGGGTGTCCCCTCTGTTGGTGACATACACTGACCATCACTCCCCCACTTGGGGTCATTCCACCTGGCTCCCCAAGGCAAAGCCCCCCGAACTGCACGCACCCATTTCTATCCTAATGCCCAGCATCATTCCTACCACACTGTCAGCTTTGCCTCTGGGAAGGAAAATTGGCTCCGAATCTCAGTAGGCCACACACAATATGCATGTCATCAGTATTAGGAAAACTTTTAAAGCTGAAAAATACAAAATTAACTTCTAGATAGGTGCCCAGTGGAGAAAACAGCAAGCAGAAGAGTATTTCTCCAGTAAGGGTCTCACATCAGCAAGAAGCCATGCACAGCTTGAGAACGTCCCTGTAAAACCAGGCAGACCCCTGGTATATAAACTCATAAATGCGTCCTACAAGTGCTCGAAGGCACTTTCCTCCGAATGCTGATTTTTGCACGCACCTTTAGAGCATCTGTGTTTACAGTATAACACAATGTGGCAATATTAGGGAAACGTGTCAGCAAGACAGACGACAGAAAACTGAGGAAGTGGCGTGTGACTGCATTTGGCACAGCCCTGGAAGTTGTGGGTGCAAAGAGAGGCCGGGAAGGGGCCCATCACTAAACATAGGGGCCCATTTCCCCATTCACACAGGCCAGCCTGTGCTCAGGACCTGGGGGAGGAAGTGGTGGCAGAGAGCAGAGAAAAATGGGACTCTTCTTCTGGACCTTGGAGATTGATGTACCTGGGATAAACGCAAAGTTCCCCCACAGCCCCCAGACTAGAAAAACATTTCCCAGATTTGGGGGAGAGGAAGAAGGTGCAGGGAGGCCCTGAGGACGTGGGCTGCAGTGGGCAGGAGAGGGACTCCCTCCGCCCCGCTTCCAGAGTGTCTTTTGGGAGGTGAGTGGGCTCCGAGGCAAGGAGACTGAGGTGGTTTCCTCCCTGGAAAGCGGAGGTGGCAAGAACTGGCCCTAGCCCCGCGCAGCCCTGCGGCAGCCCCGGCGACACGAGGAGCCACGGCAGCCAGGGGGGAACTGCCCAGAATGTGGCTCACCTGTGTGGACCTGATGGGGCCGGGGCCATCGCCGTGGCGTCTTGAGGACCTGACGCGAGCTCTGTGGTCCTGGACGCCAGCCCAGGGAGGGCAGATGTCTGCACTGACTGGGATCCGGGGCTGTGAGGGCGGCGCTGCAGGACGCCAGGCCGAGCCCGAGAGGGGGAGCAGGTGCAGCCTCGCCTCCCCAGCCCCGCGGCTCCTGGAACACCGCTGTGGCTGCGCATTCGCGCCCATCTCTGCCGGGAGCCCCCTCCCTCCTGCGCGTGGCTGACGCCCCCGCCCCCATTCAGCTCGCCAGACAGTCTCAGGCCAGGTCACACAGACCCACCTGCGGGAGGGGCGTCCCTCCACATCACATCGCTGGGGCTACTTTCTCACAGCCCCTGTCACCGACTGAGGTTCTCCTGTCTCTTCTCTGCCTCCCCGCAAGGCCAGGAGCCTTGGGACAGGGTCTCCATACCCATGGCAGTGCCCCCAGGGCCTGGGATGTGCTGGGCACGTGGTGGGTATCCCAAAGCAAGTTTGAGACAAATTCATCAGTGAGTGGATGGATGACCATAGATGAGGTCCTGTCTGATCACTGACCTTCAGGGTGGCCTCATGTCCCCCACGGAGCTAGCAAGCCTGGGACAGGAAGGTCCTGGGTTGTCTAGCACTGGCCTGCAGAGGGGGTGTGAGCACTGTCTGAAGCCACCAGCTCTTTGGCTTCCTACTCACAGGCCCTGCCTCCCTCGCTGAAAATCACGACATTGTCTGCTTGTCTCTAGCCACTTTGCAATCCCCATCTTCCTGGGCCATGGATGTGGCATTGGCTCCTGAGTTCTCAAAGCAGCAGGGTAAAAATCCAGCTGGGCTGGGCAGTGGAGAAACTGAGTCCCAGAGGGAGGACATTTGCACCCAGTGCACTGGCACTCCAGGTCCCAACTCTGATGTCACCCCTAGGATCCACGGCCTGGGCGTGTAACTGGAGGGGCCACAGGCCAAGAGCCAGGTGGCCTTTCACAGGCAGCCATGTGGGGCAGACCCAGGCGGCAGCCTCAGATTCTCAAAGCTGAAAATGGAACTGCCCTCTCTGTATTACCCCAAGCAACTCAAAGCCAGACAGCCCTTCCACATTTGATCAACAAGCTCCCCTCACCGCATTAAGGAACTTTTTACCGGTGTGAATTGTCATAAATAGATTTATGTTTATTATTACTCACATTTTGATGTTTTTAGCTATTCTAGTTCCTTTGCCTTTCTATATACATTTTAGAATTACTTTATATATTTCCACAAAAAAATCCTGCTGGGATTTTTATGGGAACTGCATTACATATGTAGATTAATTTTGGGAGAACTAATACCTTTACTACGTTGAGTCTTCCAATCCATGAATACAGTGTGTCGCTATGATTACTTGGGTCTCCTTTGATTTCTTTCATCAGAATTTCATTTCATAGTTTTCAGCACGCAGATACTGCACACAGATTGCTAGATTCATACCTAAGTATCTTTGGGGGGCTGGGAGTAGCTATAGCAAACAGCATTGTATTTTAGATGTTGGCTACCAATTGTTCATAGCTAGCACAGAGAAATACAATTGATTGTTGACTTTGTATCCTGGCGTCTGTAGAAACCTATGCATTAATTCTAGGTTTTCTTCCCCCTTTGGATTTTCTAGGTAGAAAATTATCATGTTGTCTGTAAACAGACAGTTTTAGTTCTTGCCTTCCAATCTGTAGGCTTCCCTTCCTCTCACCACCCCCTCACTTTTTTTTTTTTTTTTTTTTTCCAGCCTATTGCACTGGCTAGGACTTCCAGTAGGATACTGATAGGAGGGTTGAGAATGGACAGTCAACTTGTTCCTGATCTTAGGGAGAAAATATTCAGTCTTTTACCATTAAATATGATATTAGCGGTAGGTTTTGTGAAAATGCCCTTTATCAGATTGGGGAAGTTCCCTTCTGTACCTAGTTTGTGAGGAGTTTTATCACGAATGGATGTTAAATTTCCCTTGAGACTTCCTTTCTTACCTATTGTTCAATGCTTTTTCTGCATCAATTGCTGTGATGCTTTTCTTCTTTACACTGTTAGTGTGATAGATTATATTGATTAATTTATAAATAGTAAACCAGTCTTGCATCCCCAGGATAAACCCCACTTGGTCGTGGTATATCTCTCTATACCTTTATCTATAATCTATAACCTATATATACTGCTGAATTTTATTTACTATATTTTGCTAAAGATTTTTGTTCATATGGAACATGGGTCTGTTTGTCTTTGTCTGGTTTTGATTTCAAAAAACCAAACCTCTTCTATTTTCTGAAAGCGACAGTATAGAATTGTGTTATTTCTTCATTAAATGATTGGTAGAATTTACCAGTAAACCATCTCTTCCTGGAGATTTCTTTTTCTAAGATTTGAAATGATAAATTCAAGGTCTTTAACGGTTATAGGACTATTTAGGTTATCTATTTCACCTAAGGTAAGTTTTGGAAGTTAGTTGCTTTCAAGGAATTGGTCCCTTTTGCCTCAGTTGTCAAATTTATGTGTGTAGCGTTGTTATAGCCTTGCCTTATCACCCTTTTAATGTCTGCAGATCTCTCGTGATATCCCCACTTTCATTCTTGACCTTTGTGTTTTCTCTCTTTTGTTCTTTGTCAGTATCGCTAGAGATTTGTCAATTGTATTGATCTTTCTAAAGAAACAGCTTTTGGTTTCATTGACGTTCTCTATCATTTTCTGTTTTCAACATCGTTGATATTTCCACACTTATTTTTTATCATTTCCTTCTTTATGTTTGCTTTGGGTCTATTTTGCTCCTCTTTCCCTAGTTTCTTAATGTGAAATTTCAATGATTGATTTGAGATCTTCCTAATGTAAGAATACTGCAAGTTTCTTCTCAAAAATAAAAGATTTTCCTTGACAAGAGATAATTGTATCTATTTATGGGGTACAATGTGATGTTTTGATATAAATTACTCATTTAAGCATTGTTTTAGGTATATCCAACAGATTTTAATACACTATATTTTCATTCAGTTAAAAATGTTTTTGAATTTCCCTTGAGACATCCATTTTTACCTATGAATTATTTAGATACGTGCTTAATTTCTAAGGGTTTGTTCTAAGATTTCTCTGTTGTGGTTCTATCTTTGATTTCTAATCTAATTCCATTTTGGTCAGAGAACATATTTTATATGAATTCAATCTTTCATAGTTGCTGAGGTTTGTTTCATGTTCCAAGATACGGTTTTGGTGAATATTCCATTTGCACTTGAAAAGAATTCTGCTGTGGTTGGGTAAAGTTTCTACAAATGTCAATTAACTCAGGTTGGTTAATGATATTGTTCAGTTCTTCTATATCCTTGCTGATTTCTGTCTCCTACTAAGAGAGGAGTGTTGAAGTCTCTATATTTGCGGATTTGTCTATTTTGCCTTTCAGTTCTGTCCGTTTTGCTTCATGTATTCTGAAGCTCTGTTGTTAGGTGCACATACATTTAGGATTGTTATGTTCTCTTTGTAAATGACCCTTTTATCATTACGTAATGTCCTTCTTTATCTGTGGTAATTCTCTTTGCTTTAAACTATGCTTTGTCTGTTATTAATATAGCCACTCTGGGTTTCTTTTGATTACTATTTTCCTGATATATCCTTTTCCCATTCTTTCTCTTTGAACCTATCTATTCCATTATATTTGAAATGAGTTTCTTTTTGGTAGCATAAAATTGGATCTTTAAAAAAACCCACTCTGGCAATTTCTGTCCTTTCATGGGTAGTCTTAAGACTTTACAATTACTATATTTATTGATATGTTTGAATGAAGGCTATTGTTTTATTTTATTAAATAAACTTTTTAGAGCAGGTTTAGGTTCATGGCAATGATTTTCTTTTTTCTTTTTAAATTTTGGTTTTAAATTCTAGGCTGGGGGTGGTGGCTCACTCCTGTAATCCCAGCACTTTGGGAGGCTGAGGCAGGTAGATCACCTGAGGTCAGGAGTTTGAGACTAGCCTGGCCAACATGGTGAAACCCCATCCTTACTACAAATACAAAAAATTAGGCAGGCATTGTGGCATGGGCCTGTATTCCCAGCTACTCAGGAGGCTGAGGCAGGAGAATCACTTGAACCCAGGAAGTGGAGGTTGCAGTGAGCCAAGATTGTGCCACAGCACTCCAGCCTGGGCAACAGAGCGAAACTCTGTCTCAAAAAAAAAAAAAATTCTTGTTCCCCTTTATGCCTTCTTTTGAATATATGAACATTTTTAGTATTTCATTTAATTTTTCCTTTTTTTTTTTTTTTTTGAGATAGAGTCTCGCTCTGTCACCCAGGCTGGAGTGCAGTGGTGTGATCTCGGCTCACTGCAAGCTCTGCCTCCCGGGTTCATACCATTCTCCTGCCTCAGCCTCCTGAGTAGCTGGGACTACAGGCACCTGCCATGACACCCGGCTCATTTTTTGTATTTTTAGTAGAGATGGGGTTTCACCATGTTAGCCAGGATGGTCTTGATCTCCTGACCTCGTGATCTGCCCGCCTCGGCTTCCTAAAGTGCTGGGATTACAGGCGTGAGCCACCACGCCCGGCCTAATTTTTTCATTTTTTGGTATAGTTTTTTCATGGTTTGCACTAGAGATTACAGCATATATATATATTTAACTTTTCACAGTTTATTTAGAATAAATATTCCAACACTTCAAGTGGAATCTAGAAACTTGCCACCCCGTAGGCATTAAGTTTCATCCTCCCTTGTTTATACTGTAGGTCTGCATACATTGAAAATGCCATCTGACACTGTTATTTTCATTTTCAACCATCAAACATACTTTAAAAATTCAAGAGGGACAGAGGAGTCTATTATATTGACACAGACAGTTACTGTCTCTGTTGCTCTTCCTTCATTCCCCATGTATGTGTCCTTCCAGTATCACTTCCCTTTGGCCAGAAGAACTTCTGTGAGCAGTGCTTGCAGAGCTGTTCTATTGGCAACACACCCTCTTAGCTTCCCTTTACCCGAGTGTGTCTTATATCACCTTCATTCCCAAAGAATTTTTCTTTTTTTTTTTTTTTTGAGACAGAGTTTCACTGTTGTCACCCAGGCTAGAAGTGCAATGGCACGATCTCAGCTCACTGCAACCTCCACCTCCTGGATTAAGGCGATTCTCCTGCCTCAGCCTCCTGAGTAGCTGGGGTTACAGGCACCCACCACCATGCCCAGCTAATTTTTGTAGTTTTAGTAGAGACGGGGTTTCACCATGTTGGCCAGGCTGGTCTCAAACTCCTCACCTCAGATGATCCACCCGCCTCGGCCTCCCAAAGTGCTGGGATTACAGGTGTGAGCCATTGCACCCAGCCCCGAAGAATATTTTTAATAGATGTAGAGTTATGAGTTGATAGTTCTTTTCTTTTAGAACTCTTGTTCCACTTACTTCTGGCCTCTATGGCTTCTGAAAGGACGTCCACAGTCATTTGAACCATTCTTCCCTTATAAGTAAAATATCATTTTTCTCTGGCTGCTTACAATATTTTTTCTTTGACTTAATTTTCAGTAGTTTGATTATGTTGTATCTGGGCATGGAGTGTCTTTGTGTTTTATTCTGCTTGAGATTCATCCTGTCTGGCGGGTTCTTGAACTGTAAGTTTATGTCTTTGACTAAATTGGACAGTTTCCAGCTATTATGTTTTCAAATGCTTTTTTTCTGTGCCGCACTCTTTCTCCTGTCCTTCTGAGACTCTAGTGACATAAATGTTAGAGCTTTTGCTATTGTCCCCCAGAGGCCTGAGGCTCTTAATTTTTCTCTCAATTTCTCTCTGTTGTTCAGATTGGATAATTTCTGTGGAACTATCTTCAATATCCCTGATCCTTTCCCCTGTCATCTCCATTCTGCTATTAAGTCCATCCAGTGAATTTTAAAATTTTGTGGGAAGGTGAGCCAGGAGAATCATTTGAACCTTGGAGGCGGAGGCGCAGTGAGCCAAGATTGCGCCACTGCACTCCAGCCTGGGTGACAGAGTGAGACCCTGTCTCTAAATAAATAAATAAATAATAAAATAAATTAATTAAATAAAATTTTGGTTATTGTATTTTTCAGTTCTAGGATGTCCATTTGTTTCTTTATACCTCTATTTCTTATCTGTGACTTTCTAGCTTTCCATGTGTTTCAAGAACATTTGCCCTTACTTGATGTAGCATTTTCATAATAGCTGCTTTCAAGTCTCTGTCCGATAATCCCAATGTCTGTTTCATCTTAGTGTTATCTATCTGCTCATTATCTTTTCCTGTGCAGGTTGAGATTTTCCTACTTCTTCACAGGTTAAGTAATTCTGAATGGTCTGCACATTTTGAATACTATGCTATGGAATTCTGGGTCTTGTTTAAATCCTATGGAGAATATTTATATTTTTGTTTTGGCAGATAATTGACCCAGAATGGCTTGGGCCAAAAGTTTAGGCTTCTGTGGGTTGTGGTTCCACGTAAGCTCTGTTTTCAAAGTCACTGAGTTGGTATTTAAATTCGTGTGCTACCTAGCGGCCAGTCTGAGACCTGGGCCGTGTTTTATTTTGTACTATAGTTGTCAAAGCCTATGATGGGTTAATGCCATGCTCCTGCAGCTTAAGGATAAGCCCAGGAATTAATAAACAACTCTCAAAAACAAAACAAAACAAAAACAAAAACAAACAAAAAAAAGGCCAGGCGCAGTGGCTCACACCTGTAATCCCAGCACTTTGGGAGGCTGAGGTGGGCAGATCACCTGAGGTCAGGAGTTCGAGACCAGCCTGATCAACATGGAGAAACCCCGTCTCTACTTAAAAAAATACAAAATTAGCCGAGCCTGGTGGTGCATGCCTGTAATCGCAGCTACTCGGGAGACTGAGGCAGGAGAATTGCTTGAACCCGGGAGGTGGCGGTTGCCATGAGCCGAGATGGCGCCACTGCACTCCAGCCTGGGCAACAAGAGCGAAACTCCATCTCAAAATAAATAAACAAAAAAAACAACAACCAAAAAACTCCAGGGGATTGCTTTCCTGAGCAATCTTTATGGTATCTTCCAGTTTCCTGGGGCTCTGCATTTCCGTCGTCGAGCCAGAAAGCTAGGGCTTTCCTTCCTTGGTTTTGCTGTGCACTTGCCAGGGCTATGCCTGATTCCAGGGCCAAGGTGTGGGGGTCAGAGAGTGAAAGAGAAGCCGGGAGTTCATCTTCCTTGAGGCAACAGCTCCTCCCCTCAGAGAGGAAGGCCTCGCCCTCTTGGAATTCTGGGCTCCTGTGGGACCTACGCAATGCTCCCATGGGATTACTTGTGGGCTGGGGTATGAGAGAGCAAAGATTTTTAAAATGGATTTTCTCCATGCTCTGTGAATAATAAGAGACCCTCCTCCCGTTCCTCAAACCAGAAGCAGAGGGTTTCTCCTGGAGTTCACTGTCAGTGCTGATGTCCGTCCAGGTTCCATGCTGCCCTGAGTGCAGGCTTGGCTAGAGCGGGGGAAAAACGGCAAACCTACTTCCAGCTGGGTAGTACTCCAAATGCCAGTTTTCAAAGCCCTCAAGTAGCTTCTCTGTGCGTTCTGTTGGTTTTAAGCTGTGTTCAGTGGGAGAGTGGAGTATGCTCAGACTAGCCCAGAACCAGAAAGCTGTTGTTTATGCTGCAATTTCATTCATTTTAAAAATAAATCACGTTTGCTTTCATTACATTAATGTTTATGGTCACTTTCTATTTACGGGAAGTGATACTGATGATTTAGGTAGGAATATAATATTTCATTACAAAATATATTTATTTTAACAAACGAGCTGATTTTATGAAACAAAGTAAGCAAGACTAGAACAGATCTAACTCCCTGCTGGCTGCGCCCCGAACAGGCCATCCACACTCCCACCTCGCCTCGGAGTAAGGGCCTTCATGGTTCCCTCTGTTTGGAACACATCCCCTGGCCCCTTTGAAGGGGGCTCCAGTGTCTGCTCCTGGAAGCAGCGTTCACAAATGCAGTGGTTGGGGGCAGGGGCCCATGGGTTTTGGAGGCAGCCACTAGAGGAAGTGAGTGAAGTGAAGGAAAGGTCCTCTGAGCAACAGGGCCCAAGGGGAAGGTCTGGAGAGGGCTGCTGGTCAGCTGGGAGAGGGGGCTGGGGGACGTGAGCAGTGGGGGCAGGGGGGCGGGCTCCTCACTGAGCCTCAGTTTTCCCTATGCACAACAAGGATCATGAGCATGGAGAGGCTGTGAGCCTGTGTACCCAGCACAGCGTGGGGACTTGGTCTGCACCCTCATTGGCTACGTCACACAACCTGCCCTGGCCCTTCTCGTAGCCCCATGCGCACCCCCCAGCACCCACCCCCCGACCCCATGGGGCTCCAAGCCCGCCTCTCTGGCCCAGCCTCAGTTCTCCCCTCGCCCTCCCCCTGTGCAGGCTGCCTTCCCGCCCTGGGGCTGCGTGTTTGCTGTCCTCCCCCTGGGCTCCCTGCTCCAGGCCTCCGCAGGGCTTCTGCCTGCCCCTCCCTCGGAGACCTTCCGTGACCACTGCTCCACACGGCACTGGCTGCCCAGCCGCTCTCCACCCTGGACCCCGTTTCATTTTCCTCGTGGCTTTTCTCCAAATCCAAATCCATGTGTCTCCCCAGGGACTGGGAGCTCCACTGGGGCACCACCTTGCCTGTTCCTGCTCGCGGCTGCACCCCAGCACTAGAGCAGGTTTCAGCAAAAGCCTCCTGGCCGAGTGGATGAGTGAGTGAGTGAATGATGGCCCCCGGGATGCGGGAGGGGACCAAGCCGGGCAGCAGGGGAGGGGCCGAGAGCTCAGGAGGCCCTGGCCAGGGCTGAGGCTGACAGAGGTGACCCGGCTGCTCCCATAGGGCCGCCAGCCAGGAGGCAGCTGCAAGGAGGGGCGCGGGCCTGTTCTGTGAGGGAGAAAACAAGCGTCCTATTTACCACGAGAATGAATATCGGGCTCTGTGTGAAAATCCCACTTGCTCTGAGATGTGTGAAGCCAGCAGGGCCAGGGACGCAAGTTGTAGCGTCTCATTCAACTCCCCACGCCCCAGCCGAGGGGTACTGTCCTTCCAGCCCCCGCGCTACGCAGCTGCTGCCTGGTCCTCGCCTGTCCCCGCGGAGCCCCCGCCCTGGCCAGGCTCACTGCCCTCCTGAGACCTGCCAAAGTCACCATCTGGTTTCCTCTTTCATCGAACCTTCCGGAGGTCCCTGTGGCAGTCACGAGCCACACCTGGCCCCCCAGCGGTGCTCTCCCTTTACCCCAGTCCTGCATGGGGCCACCAGACCTCTCCCTCCCGGGCCTGCCTGCCTGGCCACCTGCCTCGGAGCCCCGACAGCCAAACAGGCTTCACAGGTGCATTGTGGCATACCCCGGTCCTGCTCCGCTTGTCTTCAGGGCCAAAGTCGGAACTTGGTGGCAGGTGTGGGTCTGCCTGCAGGCAGGGCTCCCTGCCCCTGCCCCTGTCCCCTGTCCCCACCTTGCCCTGGGGGCCTTTCCCTGCCTGGAGAGTGGGGAGGAGGGGCTGTCAGCGCTGCTGCTCCAAACTGGAGGCCCTGAATCCCAGAGAGCATGCAGATGGCCCAGGTCAGAAGACGCGGCCGGAGTTCCAGGACTCAGGGACCACAGTGTGAGACGCGTGCAGCCAGGCACCCCCATCCAGGCATCCTGTGGCCTTCCCCCAGCCCAGGAGTGGGACCCCCGAGGGCTTCACATCTTCAGGGGGAAGGAGCCAGGGGAGCACAGGGAGGAAAACCATTCTCAGGAGCTTAGGGTCTGAGGCTTCTGAGCTGCAGGAGCCCGGGACTTTCTGCTTGGGAGGATCTGGAAGAAGTGTGACCTGTTTCTGGGGAAGGGAGGGCAGGTCCTAAACTGCTGACCCCAGAGGCCACAGCAGCAGCCTCGTGTTCAGACCTGAAGACTGGTGGAAAAAGGACATTAACAAGCACCTCCTCCTACAGCCCGGGGAATCCAACCCGCCCATGAGAAGATGGGAGACCCCGCAGTGACAAGCACCCCAGCACCCTCAGAGCCCACCTCCGAGGCCGAGGGACGTGCTGAAATAACTGTCACACGTGTGGATTGTCTGTTCCAGGGCAGGCCTCCACAGCACTCACACTCAGCCCCTGGGTCCCAGGCTCTGTCCCCACGCAGGTCAGCGTGAGCTGCCTGAGCACCTGCACACTGCAGTGGGCACCCTGCAGGGATGCCAGAGTCTAGGGCAAAAATAGCCAGTTCTGTCTCCAAGTGATGGCGTGTGTCACCCACACCTCCTGACAAACACCCTTCGGCACTCTGGAGAACAGCGAATGCGTAGCAAAAATAAATGCTTTGTTTTCTCCCTGCGGCTTCTGGGAGTCAATTCAAAGAGTGGTCTTGGGAGGTAAGGCTGTGAGGGCCAGGACCTGCTCGGCAGCCAGGGTGTGGGCCCACTGGGGTCTCCTCCGCTGCCTGGCTGTGGGGCGGGCCCCTCAGCTGTCGGACCTCAGCTTCCACATCTGTAAAGTGGGCTCACGAGACCCATGCTATAGGTGGGCCTACTGGGTTAGGGGTGGGGTCAGTGGGTGCACTAAAGGCCGACACCCGCAAGGAATCTGCACTTCTACCCTTACATTCATAGGAATAAAAATAGTGTTTAAAAAGTCTCAATAGCTATAAATAGATCTGTGTGTTCTGCCCTGCCCATCTACCCTGTCCGATTCACCTAAAGGTAGGCCAGGCAGGACGGGCAGGGCCACCTTCCCTGTGATGAGAGCACAGTGGGCAACAGCAGCCACTGGGTGTCCCAAGCCTGCCTGAGCACTCAGGGCCCCAGCATGCCCAGATGGCTGGTGGTCCCTCCCACCTGCTCCCCCAGCCCTTAGATGCCACCTCCAGGAAGGCTCCCATGCCTCCTCCTAGGCAGGAACGGCCACCTGGCCTGGGATGCCCAGCTCTCTACTGCTGCGTGTGTTCCCCTGGCCTCTCTCCTGCATGTGACCAGGGCCCAGGGGTCATGAGGCAGCCAAGGAAATGAGGGCTGAGGGGCAGAGGGACAGGGGGCACAGCAGCCTGACACGGAATCTGTGGCACACTCCACTCCAGATGCTGCCTGCCCGCCACTTCTCTCAGACCCTCCCACAAAGCCTAGCCCCGGGTGTCTGCCAGGGCCTTCCAGCCCCAGCTGGCAAAGAGCCAGGTCTGTACTGTCCTTTCTCCAGAATCTCTGCCTGAGGCTCCACCCCAGAGCTTCGGGCTCCCAGCCCTTCTCTCACGCCCAGCTCCCCAAGAGGGGAGGCCAGGCCACCTCTGCCACCTGCTCCCCACCTCCCTGGGCTCCTCTGTGCTCCTCATCTCTGTGCCCCCTGCCTCCTGTACTCCCTGCCACCCTGCGCTTCTCACCTCCCTTGTCCTCTGCCTCCCTGTGCTCCTCACCTCCCTGTGCCTCTCCCTGTGCTCCCGCCTCCATGCCTTTGCCCATGCTCTATCCTCTTCTGGGTTGCCCTTTCCTGCCAGTCTGCCAGCTGAGGCCCTGAGGGTCAATGCATCTTCCTTTCCTCTGCCCCAACCTGACCCTGGCAGCTGAGCACAGCCCTTGGGGCCCTTCTGTCCCCTGGCAGGACCTGCGGCACCCTGCCTGGCTCTCCTGCCTGCTCCAGTTAAGTCACCTGCAGTTGACAAGCCGCCTGGGTGTCCTGCATGGGTTGCATAATGCCCTTTTAGACTGCGAATTTACTGGCCTTATTTACACACTGGGGCCTTTCAGGAGAATCAGTGCGTCTGCTTTCCTGCAAAAACTCAGAAGAGCCAGCTACACAGGGCCTGCATTCCTGCCTGGTACTGTTTGTTGGCCAGAACCAAGGGCTGCCCCTCGACCTGGGGATGCCACCACCTCACTGTCTCCGTCACCTGCTCCCTCTGCCCCACCTAAGCCTGCCACCCGGTTTCCAGACCAAAGCCTCTGTGGCTGCCCAGGGTGTAGGCCATGAAGGGGACCCTGAGGTGGGGAAGGCAGATCCCACACTGACTACAGCTGTCTAAGCAGAAGCAGCTATGTGGACGTCACTCCCTGGGGCCATTTCCTTCTAGCTGGAGATGTATCTGTCAAGGTCTGGAAAATCTTAAATGACAGAGAAATAAGAATTGAAAGAGAAAAGAATTTCATTTCTCCCCTAAATTTCAAATTTGGGGGAATGAGTTAAAACTGGTGCAGTTGGCCGGGCACGGTGGCTCCCGCCTGTAGTCCCAGCACTTTGGGAGGCCAAGGTGGGCAGATCACAAGGTCAGGAGTTTGAGACCAGCCTGGCCAACATGGTGAAACCCCGTCTCTACTAAAAATACAGAAATTAGCTGGGCGTGGTGGTGGGCGCCTGTAATCCCAGCTGCTAGGGAGGCTGAGGCAGGAGAATCGCTTGAGCCCGGGAGGCGGAGTTTGCAGTGAGCTGAGATTGTGCCACTGCACTCCAGCCTGGGCAACAGAGCGAGACTGTCTCAAAACAACCACCAAAAAAAAAAAAAAACCTGCGCAATTTTTCATTCATTGTGATCCATGACATGGAGGCTCAGGGGTTGGGGGGCCCAGACGTGGGGATGGTCTCAGAAAGTTGGGGAAGTGTGGTCCTCCTCGCTGCTGCTCTCGGGGGCTCCTTCCGCCTGGAGACGGTGGGCACCAGAGAAACACTCAGTGCATGGAGCCTGGGCCGTGGTGTGGGCTTGATGAATGCTGAGTGACTTCGGGCAGACTGTTTATCTGAAAATAACTCCAAAAAGCAAGGAGCCATTTAAATACTTCTCATTCTTGCTATAAGAAGAGGCTCTCACAGCTAAACTTTAACAAATTCGTCATCGTCTTTTCTGGGAAGAACGAGGGAAGATGAAGTCATCAGTTTATGATAAAACAAAGAAACATACTGTTTTCTCTGGCTTCCCTCAGAAACTTCAAGCAGGCAGAGAAAAGGCCCTTGTCAGAGATGCATGTGTGTGCGTCTGTGTGTGCGTGCGTGCATGTGCACACGTGTGTGTCTGTGCATGTGCGTGTGTGCATGTCTGTGTGTATGTGTGTCTGTGTGTGCGCGTGTGTGTCTGTGTGTGCGTGCGCGTACACACGTGTGTCTCTGTGTGTGCGTGTGTGCGTGTGTCTGTGTGTGCACGTGTGTCTGTGTGTGCGCACGTGTGTGTGTGTGTGCACGCATGTGTGTGTCTGTGTGTGTGTGTGTGTGTGCGTGCATGTGTGTGTGGGGTGCATCTGAACCCCCAGCCCAGTGGCTCCACATGGAATCCTGGGTGCAGGCCCCTCTCTGGGCTGTGGTCCACAGCCAGCACTCAGACAGCATGCGCACAGATCGCACACACGATCGTGACCGGTTCCTGCTTGACTTCACTGCGCAGCAGTTCTCTGATCTGCTTTTCCCAGAAAGGGAAACCGAGGCTCAGAGAGAGGGGCCGACCTGTGCTATGTATGTCACTCAGCTAGAACATGAGGTCACGAGACTGTCCCACCCCTCTTGCAGACTTGAACTGATAGTGGGTTTTATCATCTTCTGAGAGTGGGTTTAGGGTTGCCAGGCACAGGGACTCTGCTTCAGACTTGAGAGGGTCTCCACACAGAGGGACCCTGGCAGCTCAGGTGGGGAAAGGCCCCAGCGGCCAGCACCTGCTGCCCAGGGCTCCACACCAGGGACCCAGCCGCCATCCTGGAAGACACTCCAGACCAGGAGCAGATGGTGTGAGAACCCAAGTCCTGTGTAAGAGGTCACTTGGCTATGGGCAACTTTGCAGAAGCCAGCCTGGCCTAGCCTCTGGGGTTGGAGCCCCCCCAGCGCCGGGGAAAGGCGTTTCTGTGCAGGGCAGGCACTGGACACCTGTGCCCACCCTCAGCATGCTCAGAGGCCCCCAGACGCCAGAGGAGCTTCTGGAAAATGCAGATGCCCAGGCCTCGCCCCAGCTCCTGAGCAGCCCTGCTGCTCTCCAGACTCATCCTGGCCAGCTCCTTCAAGCAGAGAAGGAGTCTCAGATTTGGGGCTTCTTGGGCACACCTGCCATGTGCAGCCCCCTGAGTCCTGCTAAGAGCCCGGCCTTGGGCTCAGGACCCTCAGGCCATGAACCTGCATTTCGGTGCTTGTTGAAGGAGCCACTCCAGGGCCACACTCGGGACATTTCCCGAGCCTGAGCAGTCCCTGTGTTGTTCACATGCTCATGTCCCCCGCATCAATCCACAGTTTAAAACGACCACTTCTCCCCGCCAAGAATATCTATGAGCTCTAATGCAATAGTGACATGCCTTTAAAAATGTATTCAAAGGGCCGGGCGCGGTGGCTCACGCCTGTGATCCCAGCACTCTGGGAGGCTGAGGCAGCAGATCACGAGGTCAGGAGATTGAGACCATCCTGGCTAACCCCGTCTCTAGTAAAAATATAAAAAATTAGCCGGGCGCAGTGGCGGGCGCCTGTAGTCCCAGCTACTCGGGAGGCTGAGGCAGGAGAATGGCGTGAACCCGGAAGGCAGAGCTTGAAGTGAGCGGAGATCACGCCACTGCACTCCAGCCTGGGCGACAGAGCGGGACTCCGTCTCGAAGAAAAAAGAAAGGTATTCAAAGAAACACATAATAATGGCTAGAGACAGTGACAATGCTGCATTACTGTGTTCAGTCATCAGCCCAACCCAAAGAGGCCACATCGCTGGCCACAAGGAGACAAGGACACGTGGATGTTGGATAGGGTGGACTTCAGGACCTCCTGGTTTGGGGTCTCTTAGACAAAAGTCCCTTGGCCTGGGCCCTGGTGGCCATGCCTCCCAGAGAGCAGGTGGGCCCTGGAGGCAGGGGCCCCAGCCCCAGGCCTCCCCACTCCTGCAGGCTTCTGGCAGGCAGAGCAGCCGTGGGAGGGCACTTGACCCAGCCACGCTGAGTGCCTGTTTTAATCTTGCGAAGACTCAGCCTCACCTGAGCCCATCAATCCAGTCACCACAATAACGACTTCTGGCCAAGTCTCTGCTGCTCTGGGCTCTGCATGAGGCAGGCCCCGCGCCATCCATCGCACCCTCCTGCCCCTGCCAGGACCAGGCAGAGGGGAAAGGCTGCCTGTGCGGGCCCAGCTGTGCCACTCAGGTAACAGAGGGCCTTGGCTTTCCAAGGCTAATACTTTTTTTTTTTTTTTTTTGAGATGGAGTCTTGCTCTGTCGCCCAGGCTGGAGTGCAGTGGCGCAATCTCGGCTCACTGCAAGCTCCGCCTCCCGGGTTCACGCCATTCTCCTGTGTCAGCCTCCCGAGTAGCTGGGACTATAGGCGTCTGCCACCATGCCCGGCTAATTTTTTGTATTTTTAGTAGAGATGGGGTTTCACCATGTTGGCCAGGATGGTCTCGATCTCCTGACTTCATGATCCGCCCGCCTCGGCCTCCCAAAGTGCTGGGATTACAGGCGTGAGCCACCGCGCCTGGTCCCGGGGCTAATACTTTTTTCCAGAAAGATTCAGCCACAGCAGAAGCTATGAAAGCATGACTGCTGCGTGGTGCCAGCCGTCAGGGTTGGGCAGTGGTCAGTCCTGCCCATGTCTCCCCCTGGCATAACCCAAGACAGGGCCCCTGGCCTGGCCTCCAACTCCCACCCAACCTTGGTCAACCTCCCAGAGGAGAGGGCTGCAGACGAGGGGTTTCCAAGGGACGGCAACTTTTGCCAGCATGGAGGAGGACCAGGGTGAGAGGTGAGACTCTCAGAGCCTGACGGAGGGGCTGGATGAGGGGCAGTGGGATGGGGGGCTGGCTGGGCTACTTCCAGAAACGTCCAGCCGAGTAGAGGATGCATTCAAACCATGTGCACATCAGCCCCTCAGCCCCGAAGCCAGGGGCTGCTTTCCCTTTCCGGCCCCACCTCCCCACCCAGTGAAGGGGCTGGCCTGCCCGGCTCACCCAGCAGCTTCCCCAAAGACACAGGCTGTTCATCGGCTCCATTTTTAACCTTCCTTAGTCCCAGCAGCCCCAGCAAAAGCTCTTCGGTGAGTGCCTGCGCAATCTGCCCGGCTGGGCCGCAGCAGTCCACGGGCAGGGCAGAGCCCCGGGCTTCCTTCCGGGACCCCTGCCAAGGCTCAGCCCTGCTGCAGCTGTCCAAGGCCATGGCCTCTGCGGCTTCTGCCTGGCCAGCATCTGTTCTTCCCTCTGAAAACAGAGCCCATTTGTCCTTCCTCTCCTGCCCGTGGTAGGAGGACATGGCCCTGGTGCCACTTGGGGAAGGAGTTGCGTTGGTCTGTGACAGTTGGGATGGCATGTGATCCAGGCCCAGCCACTCAGTGCCTTTCATCTCCCTGGCCTCTGGGATAAATCCATGGGCAGGCATGTCACCTGGGTGGGCCACCAGACTCAGTTCGTGGGACATTTATTTGAACTGTCTGAGCAGAGCCTCTCTCTCTGCTCAGGGCAAGGTAAGGACAGGAAGTAAGTATGGAGCTGGTGGGGGCTTTCTTGTGAAAGGGGCCCACATGGAGGAAACGGAGCCAAGACTCACAGAGACCGAGACCATGTCCCACATCCAGCCATGCCTGAAGCCCACCTTGGGCTTTTTTTTTTTTTCTTTTTGAGGTGGAGTCTCGCTCTGTTGCCCAGGCTGGAGTGCAGTGGCATGATCTCGGCTCACCGCAACTTTCGCCTCCCAGGTTCAAGTGATTCTCCTGCCTCAGCCTCCTGAGTAGCTGGGACTACAGGCGTGCACCACCAAGCCTGGCTAATTTTTTTTTTTTTTTTGTATTTTTAGTAGAGACAGGGTTTCACTGTGTTAGCCAGGATGGTCTCTATCTGGCCTCGTGATCTGCTTGCCTCAGCCTCCCAAAGTGCTGGGATTACACGTGTGAGCCACTGCACCCGGCTGGCTTTTTTTTTTTTTTTTTTTTTTTGAGACGAGTCTCACTCTGCCACCTAGGCTGGAGTACAGTGGCGTGATCTCAGCTCACTGCAGCCTTTGCCTCCTGGATTCAAGCAATTCTCCTGCCTCAGTCTCCCAAGTAACTGGGACTACAGGCATGTACTACCACTCCAGGCTAATTGTTGTATTTTTAGTAGAGACGGGGTTTCACCATGTTGGCCAGGCTGGTCTCGAACTCCTGACTTCAAGTGATCTGCCCGCCTCAGCCCCCCAAAGTGCTGGGATTACAGGTGTGAGCCACCGTGACTGGCTATCCCAGGGCTTTTTATTTACAGAAGCAAATGCGTTTTCTGAGTCCTTAAGTCTGAGGTGGGTTTCTCCACTTGAAATAGAAAGAACCTAACACCCCAGCTCTGAAGTGCACCATCACCAGCTGCTGCTGGCTTTCATCACCGGCTTTCCACGCAGCAGACCACGGCGCAGATGTGGGCGGGGTCCTTATTGGCCATGAGACCCCGGGGCGTCACTTTCCTCAGACAGCCTTATATGTAAAATGGGCCTAATGCACCCCCGGCTGATATGTGGAGGGGACAGCTGGTCTAAAATTCAACAGCAGAAGGGACTGGAGAATGTTCTTGGGGGGGGAGGGGCGCAGGTGCCAAGGAGCGGAGTGGGGAGGAAGCCAAGGACAGCAAGGTCTGAGGGCTGAAGCAGGATGAGGGAGGCCCCCGGCCATGGGGCCTGGGGCCGGGAGGAGGCGGGTTTATGACCATGGGATAGTCCTGCAGCGTCTCTGCCTGCTGAGTGAAGAACGGGCTGGGGCTGGAGGGAGAGTCGTGGGTCTGGATCGAGCTGGAATCAGGGGCATGCAGCCCAGTGCCTGCATTCTGCGCAGATTGGGAGGGTGGCGTGCATGGGCCGTGTTGATGTTTGGATGCAGGAGGGGGACTGCTGACATAAAGGGAGCACTCAGCCCCCGGGGTTTGTGCGTTACCCACCTGGGTGACTTGTCTGAGATGAGGGAGGCTGCAGGGAGAAGGGAGTAGAGGGTGGTGGGAGGTAAGAGCAGCAGGAAGCCCAGGGACAGGAGGGGGCTTGGAAGCCCAGAGGGCAGCATTTCAGGAGAGAAGGGCCGATGGATGGGCCAGTGGTGCACAGGGAGTGGAGCAGCCCAGGGAACCCATGGTGTGCTGAGCAGACCAACCCAGGACAGGGGCGTGAAGGCAGAAGCCAGCCTGCACCAGCCTGCACCGACACCTTTGACCTCAGACCCAGCAATTACCCTAAGGAGCTAACCCAGCAAGAAAGCAGTGATCAATACAGCAGCTGCCAGGGTGAGGAGGCTCCCACGCTGCCGAGAGGCTGGGAAGGAGACGCGTCCTGCCACTGGGCGTCAGGTATGCAAACTGTGGTCTCTCCATTCAAGGAATACTGAAAGGAACCCTGAGGAAGAAGCTCTGAGCTACTGAAGGAGAGAAGCCAAACAATGCACACTATGCTTCGGATGAATGGATCTTTGCAAAACAAAAACGTACATCTCCGTGTACCCAGAGATAAGTCGTGTACATTAAATGATAGCAGACTCATGATGTGGAACTGGGGGAGTAAGAGGTGTCAGTTTCCTCCTTTACCCTCTCTACATTCCTGGCTTTGCGTCCGTCAACGAGTTTTTATTACTTTTACCAACAGAAAGAAAAGCACAAAGGAAAGGAAGGACCGGGCGAGTGGGCAGAGAGAAGGTGGAGTGCAGTGATGGAGCTGCCAGCTAGGCGGGGGCAGGCCAGGGCCACCCCAAGCCCTGGGAGGCGGTGGCCTGCTCACACTGCCTGTAGCACATCCACCAGCAGCTCTGGGGGGAAAGCCAGCAGCCAATTACACAAAAAGGCAGCGGGCACAGCTGCCTCTCTCTCCAGCCACTCTCAGTCTGTGGAGGTAATAACAAGTAGAAGCATTTAGGGCATGCTTGAGTTCGACAAAGAGCAGGTCTGATTGACTCCAAGTCAGCTGTGCACATGCAGGCTGGTGGAAAGGGTGGCCTGGCCGCTGCTGTCAGATTTATGACAGCCACAAAGCTGCCTCTTTCCTAAAGCCAGTGCCACCACTGCTGCTGTTTGAGACGAGCTCCACGACCCAAAGCAGTCAGAAGACAAACTGGCCGGTGCACCATGCTTTGGTTTGCAGTCAGACTGACATGTGCACAGTACTTAACAATTTGCAGTCTGACATGTGTGTACCTCACTTCACAGTTTGCAGAGTCCTTTCAGAGATGTCATTGCTCCTGAGTCCCAGGTCCCTGCCCAGAGGTGCCAGGAGCAAAGCCGCTGCCCCAGACTGGCCATCGGTGGGAGCACCCCAGGACCTGGCTCCTGCCCAAGGAACGGCCAAACCCATTGCCACAAGCAGGGGCCCTGGTGCCTCCAGCTTCTCTTTTCAGCCAGCATGGCTGTGGTTGTGTTGTTTACCTTTTTACTGGAGTATAACCTACATCCTGGAAAGCACACAAGCTTGAAGCGTGCAGCTAGATGAGATCTCCGAAGTGAACCAGGCCACCAGCACCCAGATTGAGAAGCAGAACATTTCCAGACCCTGAAAAGTCCACCTGTGCCCCTCTTCACCCACTAACCCTTTAATTTCAATTGCAAAGAAACACCAAGAGGGATCGCCGCATACAGCACTATCAATCAATGTTCACACAAAACTAGAAATGGGAGGGATCACCACGCAGGGCACTATCAATCACTGTTCACACGAAACTCGAAATGCGTCACGCCCAGGTGGGTACCTGTCCTAAATGCAGGAGCAAGAGGACGAACAGGAACCCCACGTGGCTGCGGACTACTAGCCTGGGGCTCTGCCCCTCCCATCACTGGCAGTCAGGCAGTGCCTCCCCAGGATGTGCCAGTCCTGCTGGGCTGCAATCCCACCGGGATCAGGGACAAAGGAAATGGCAGCTACCAGGTAAACATAAAAGACTTAAAAAATGCCTTTAAAACATACTTGAGTGTTTAAAGCAAAAATAATACTGTAGTGTGGGGTTTATAAATATGTGGAAAAGAGATGTATGACAACACTAGCATTGTCGTCGGTTGGACTGAGTCCCTCCTAAACAGATGACTGAAGTCCTCACCTCCAATATCTCCAAAACGAGGCCTTATTTGGAAATAGGGTCACTGCAAATGTAATGAGTGAAGAGGAGGCCACACTGGAGTGGAGTGGAGTGGGGTGGGGTGGACTCCTAATCCAACATGACTAATGACCTTAGAAGACGTGGGCACACAGGAAGAGCACCATGTGACACTGAGGGCAGAGACTGGAGTGATGCGGCTTCAAGCCAAGGAATGCAGAAGATTTCTAACAAGCCGCCAGAAGCTGGGAACAGGCAGGGAAGGGTTCTATTGGGTTCAGAGGGAATGTGTCCCATGAGCCCCTGATCCAGAACTCCAAATGAGAGAACACATTTCCGTTGTTTTAAGCCATCCCAGTCTGTGACACTTTGTTAAGGCAGCCCTAGGAAAGTGATACAAACACAAGGCTGAGTGGAGCATGAACGCCACTGGCAGGATGTCTTCATGCTATATATGCAGCAGCACACTATTGAGACCACAGTTTCTTCGGTTGGTTTGTGGTCTCGCTGACTTCAAGAATGAAGCCATGGGCCGGGCGCAGTGGCTCACGCCTGTAATCCTAGCACTTTGGGAGGCCGAGACGGGCGGATCACGAGGTCAGGAGATCGAGACCATCCTGGCTAACACGGTGAAACCCCGTCTCTACTAAAAATACAAAAAAAATTAGCCGGGCATGGTGGCGGGCGCCTGTAGTCCCAGCTACACGGGAGGCTGAGGCAGGAGAATGGCGGGAACCCGGGAGGTGGAGCTTGCAGTGAGTCGAGATCGCGCCACTGAACTCCAGCCTGGGCAACAGAGCAAGACTCCGTCTCAAAAAAAAAAAAAAAAAAAAAAAAAAAGAATGAAGCCATGGACCTTCACAGTGAGTGTTACACAGCTCTTAAAGGTGGTGTGTCTGGAGTTTCTTCCTTCCGGTGGGTTTGTGGTCTCGCTGACTTCAAGAATGAAGCCGCGGACCTTCACGGTGAGTGTTACAGCTCTTAAAGGTGGCGCGGACCCAAACAGTGAGCAGCCGCAAGATTTATTGTGAAGACCAAAAGAACTCAGCTTCCACAGCTGGAAGAGAACCCCAGCAGGTTGCCGCTGTTGGCTGGGATGGCCAGCTTTTATTCCCTTATTTGTCCCTGCCCATGTCCTGCTGATTGGTCCATTTTACAGAGTGCTGATTGGTCCATTTTATAGTGTTGATTGGTGCATTTTTACAGAGTGCTGATTGGTGCTTTTACAATCCCTTAGCTAGACACAGAGCACTGATTGGTGCATTTTTACAGAGTGCTGATTGGTGCTTTTACAATCCTTTAGCTAGACACAGAGCACTGATTGATGCGTTTTTACAGAGTGCTGATTGGTGCTTTTACAATCCTTTAGCTAGACACAGAAAAGTTCTCCAAGTCCCCACTGGACCCAGGAAGTCCAGCTGGCTTCACCTCTCACTATCACCTGGAGGGAGACTGGGATCAAGCTGTGGTGGTCAGAAGAGTTCTAAGATGGCCCTGGATTCCTACTCCCTGGTGTACACACCCCATACAATCCCCTCTCCTCTTAGGTATAGGCAGGACTGTGAATATGATGGATGTCACTCCTGTGATTAGGTGATGTTATCTGGCAAAGATGAAGGGAGTTTTGCAAGTTTAAGTAAAGCCTGTAATCAGTTGACTTTGAGATCATCAAAAGGGAAATTATGCTGCATGAGTGTAACCTAAACAGATAAGCTTTTTTAAAAAAAGGTCAGATACTTGCATCAGAGACTCTCCTGATGGTCTTGAAGAAGCAAGCCACCATGCAGTCTACAGTGGCAAGGAAATAAATTCTGCCACCAGCCACATGAGCTTGGAAGAAGACACTAAAACACAGATGAGACCCAAGCCCCACACTTGTGAGACCCTGAACCCCTGACTCATGAAAATTCTAAAATAATAAATTTGTGTTTTACATTACCAAGATCGGTTTAATGTTTTGGGTAGCAACAGAAAAGTAATGCAATGAATGATACCTAAATTAAGCACTAAAATAACACAGCAAAGGGATATAGCTTAAAAAATCAACAAAGGACATAAGCTAGAATCATAAAAAAAAACCCAATTAATTCAAAAGAAGTCAGAAAAAAAAAAAGATACAAGGAAAAACATATGAAACAATTAAAAAATAAAGGCTAGGCATGGTGGCTTACACCTGTAATCCCAGCACTTTGGAAGGCTGAGGCAGGTGGATCACCTGAGGTCGGGAGTACAAGACCAGCCTGACCAACATGGAGAAATTCCGTCTCTACTAAAAATACAAAATTAGCCGGGTGTGGTGATGCATGCCTGTAATTCAACTACTTGGGAGGCTAAGGCAGGAGAATCGCTTGAACCAGGAGGCAGAGGTTGCAGTGAGCCAAGATGGCACCACTGCACTCCAGCCTGGGAAACAAGAGCAAAACTCCATCTCAATAAATAAATAAATAAATAAATAAATAGATTTCAGAATAGATTTCAGATCAAATAAATAAACAGCCGGCCGGGTGTGATGGCTCATGCCTATAATCCCAGCACTTTGGGAGCCCGAGGCTGGCAGATCTCTTGAGGTCAGGGGTTTGAGACCAGCCTGGTCAACATAGTAAAACTCCATCTTTACTAAAAATACAAAAATTAGCCGGGTGTGGTGACGCATGCCCAGCTACTCAGGAGGCTGAGGCACAAGAATCACTTGAACCTGGGAGATGAAGGTTGCAGTGAGCAGAGATTGCACCACTGCACTCCAGCCTGGGCAACAGAGCGAGACTCCATCTTGAAATAAATAAATAAAAATAAATAAATAAATAAATAAATAAATAGAAGGTGGTTAATTTAAATCCAACAATATCTTAATCACATTAAATGTAAATGTTCTAAACAATCCAATTAAAAGGCAGAGATTTGGGCTGGATGCAGTGGCTCATGCCTGTAATCCCAGCACTTTGGGAGGCCGAGGCGGGTGGATCACCTGAGGTCAGGAGTTTGAGACCAGCCTGACCAACATGGTGAAATCTTGTCTCTACTAAAAAAATACAAATATAAGCCAGGCATGGTGGTGTGCACCTATAATCCCAGCTACTCGGGAGGCTGAGGCAGGAGAATCGCTTGAACCCGGGAGGTGGAGGTTGCAGTGAGACGGGATCGTGCCACTGCACTCCAGCCTGAGTGACAGAGCAAGACTCCATCTCAAAAAATTAAATAAATAAATAAAATAACATAAAAGGCAGAGATTTTCAGATTGGATATGAAAGCAAGAACCACATAAATGCTGTCTACAAGAACCCAAGTTTAAATACAGAGACATAAATAGATTAAAAGTGAAAGTATGTAAAAAGGAAAGAGAGCTGGTATGTCTATAATTATTTTATCTATATGATTATCGGAATAGATTTCAGATCAAATAATAGGATAGTAAAGAAGGCCATTCCATAATGACAAAGGGTCATCCATAAAGATGATATAACCATCTTAAGCATGTGTTCACCTAATAACAGAGCTTCAGAATACATGAAGCAAGAACTGATAGAACTGCGAGAATAAACAAACCACAACCTTAGTTGAGATTTTTGTCATCTGTTTCTCAATAATGGATAAAACCAGCAGATAGAAAATCATGAAGGAGGGCCAGGGGCGGTGGCTCACACCTGTAATCCCAGCACTTTGGGAGGCCGAGGTGGGCGGATCACAAGGTCAGGAGATTGAGACCATCCTGGCTAACACGGTGAAACCCCATCTCTACTAAAAATACAAAAAATTAGCCGGGTGTAGTGGCGGGCACCTGTAGTCCCAGCTACTTGGGAGGCTGCGGCAGGAGAATGGTGTGAACCCGGGAGGCAGAGCTTGCAGTGAGCGAGATCGCGCCACTGCACTCCAGCCTGAGTGACAGAGCGAGACTCTGTCTAAAAAAAAAAAGAGGCCAGTTACAGTGGCTCACGCCTGTAATCCCAGCACTTTGGGAGGCTGAGGTGGGCAGATCACCTGAGGTCAGGAGTTTCAGACCATCCTGGCCAACATGGTGAAATCCCATCTCTACTAAAAATACAAAAATTAGCCGGGCATGGTGGTGTGTGCCTGTAATCCCAGCTACTCAGGAGGCTGAGGTAGGAGAATCACCTTTACCCGGGAGGTGGAGGTTGCAATGAGCCAAGATTGTGCCATTGCACTCCAGCATGGGTGACAAGAGTGAAACTCCATCTTAAATAAATAAATTTAAAAATGAATAAATAAATAAATAAATAAATAAAAAGGATAATAAGAAAATACCATGGACAAGTTTATGCCAATCAGTTGAAAATTTAGATGACATGCAAAAATTATTCGAATGATACAAACTACCAAATCTCACAAAAAATAGATAACCTGAATGACTATATCTATCAAAGAAATTTCAACTGGAGTTAAAAACCTTCTCATAAGGAACAAGACAAAGCCAAGCGTGGTGGTTCATACCTGTAAACACAGCACTTTGGGAGGCTAAGGCAGGCACATAACTTGAGTCCAGCAGCTCAAGACCAGCCTGGGCAACATGGCATGACCCTGTCTCTCCAAAAAATGCAAAAATTAGCCAGGCATGGTGGTGCACACCTGTGGTGCCAGCTACTTGGGAAGCTAGATGGGCAGGCTGATTGAGCCTGGGAGGTCGAGGTTGCAGTGAGCCAAGATCACACCACTGCATTCCAGCCTGGGTGACAGAGCCAGGCCCTATCTCCACAGAAAAAAAAAAAAAAAAAAAAAAGACAACAATGCTCGCTTTTACCATTGCTATTCAACATTGTACTAGGCGTTCTAACTAGAGCAGTTAGGCAAGAAGAAGAAATAAATGGCTTTGAAATTAAAAAGAAGTAGTAAAATGATCTCTATTCACAGGTGGCATGATCCCATATATACAAAATCCTACAGAATCCACAAAGAAACTATTAGAGCTAAAAAACAAATTCAGCAAAGTTGCAGGATACAAGATCAACAAACAAATATCAGCTGTATTTCTATACATCATCTATTAATGCTCTGAAAAATGAATTAAGAAAACAATTACATTTATAGTAGCATCCAGAAGAATAACATACCTAGGAATAAATTTAACCAAGAGGAGAAAGATCTGCAGACTGAAAACTATAAAATATTATTTAAGATAAATTAAAGAAAGTCTCAATAAATGGAAATACATTTGTGTTCATGGGTTCTAAGATTTAATGTGTAAAGATGGCAATACTAACCAAAGTGATTTACAGATTCAATGCAATCTCTAGCAAAATTCCAACAGCCTTTTTTTTCAGAAATCAAAATACCCATCCTGGCCGGGCGCAGTGGCTCACGCTTGTAATCCCAGGACTTTGGGAGGCCAAGGCGGGCTGGATCAGTTGAGGTCAGAGTTCAAGACCAGCCTGGCCAACATAGTGAAACCTCATCTCTACTAAATATACAAAAATTAGCTGTGTGCAGTGGCACATGCCTGTAATGCCAGCTTCTCAGGAGGCTGAGGCAGAAGGTGGAGGTTGCAGCGAGCCAAGATCGTGCCACTGCACTCCAGCCTGGGTGACAGAGCAAGACTCAGTCTCAAACAAACAAACAAACAAACAAACAAAACAAAAAAACCACCCATCTTAAAATACATATGGAATTGCAAAGGTCCCTAAATAGCCAAAACAATCCTGAAAAAGAACAAAGTTGAAGGACTCACACTTCCTGATTTCAAAACTTACTACAAAGCTACAGTAATCAAAACAGTGTGGTACTGGCCAGTTGATTTTTGAAAAGGGAGCCAACATCATTAATTCAATGAGGGAAAAAACAGTCTCTATGTTGCTGGGACAACTGGAAATCCACATGCAAAAAAATCAAATTGGACCCCTACCTCTTACCATATATAATTATTAATTCAAAATGGATCAGAGACCTATATATACGAGCTAAAACTATAAAACTCTCAGGAGAAAACCTGGGGAGAAACATGGATTTGGCAATGGATTATTAGATGCAACCCCAAAAGTGTAAGAAACAAAAGAAAAAACAGATAAACTAGACTTCATCAAAATTAAAAACCTG
This sequence comes from Homo sapiens, assembly GCF_000001405.40. Taxonomy (NCBI): domain Eukaryota; kingdom Metazoa; phylum Chordata; class Mammalia; order Primates; family Hominidae; genus Homo; species Homo sapiens. The sequence continues at coordinate 180,187,434 of NC_000005.10, forward strand.
TGTACATCAAAGGACATTACAAAGAAAGTGAAAGGACAAACTACAAAATGGGAGAAAAATTTAACCAAAAGGAGAAAGACTTGTACACTGAAAACTATAAAATATTATTTAAGAGAAATTAAAGAAAATCTAAATAAATGGAAAGATATTCACAAATTTATACACCTGTAAGAGTCTAGTATTCTGAACATATAAATAACTCCTATAACTTAAAGAAAATACAAATAACCCAATTTTTTAAGAAGCAGGCAAAATACTTGAATAGACATTTTTCCAAAAGAGATACACAAATGGCCAAGAAGAATATAAAAAGATATTCCACATTATTAGTCATTAGGAAAATGCAAATCACAAGACAATCAAATACCACTTTACACCCGCTAGGATGGCCATAATCAACAAAACAGAAAGTGATAAGTGTTGACAAGGATGTGGAGAAACGGGAAACCTTGTGTGTTGCTGGTGGGAATGTGAAAGGACAGTTTGACAGTTCCTCAAAAAGTCAACTATGGCATTAGCAAATGACCCAGCAATTCCACTCCCAGTTACATGCCCCAAATAACTGAAAACAGATCCTCAAACAAATACTTGTACATGAGTGATCATAGCAGGACTATCTTCAGTAGCCAAAAGGGGGAAACAACCCACATGTCCATCAACAGATGCATGGATAAATAACTGTGATACAGACATACAATGGAATATATTCAGCCATAAAAAGGAATCAAGTACAGATACATGTCACTGCATAAATGAACCTCAGAAAGATTATGTTATGTGAAAGCCGCTTGACACGAAAGGCCACAAGCCACAGGATTCCATTTATATGAAATATCCAGAATAGGTACATACACAGGGAAAGAACACAGGCTGCTGGTTGTCATGGCAGGAGAGGGTAGTAGTGAGTAACTGCTAATGAGTATAAAATGTTCTTTGGGGGTGATGAAAATGTTTTAGAACTAGACAGAGGTGGCAGTTACAGAACCTTTGCAATTTATCATTTTAAAAGACTAAAGGAAAAACCACATAATCATCTCATAGATGCGAGAAAGCATTGACAAAATCCAAAATCCATTCCCAATAAAAACTCTCAGCCAACTAATAATAGAAGAGAAGTTCCCCAACTGGATAAAAGGCATCGGTGAGAAACCTGCACTTACATCATACTTAACAGTGAAAATTGGAATACTTTCTCCCTAAGATCAGGAAAAGGCAAGGTGATCCACTTTCTTTTCTTCTTTTATAATTTCAACATTTATTTTAGATTCAGAGGGTACATGTGCAGGTTTGTCACATGGGTATATGGCATGATGCTGAGGCTTGGGGTACGAATGATCCTGTCCCCCAGGTACTGAGCATAGTACCCAATAGTTTTTCAACCCTTGTCTTCCTCCTTCCCTCCCCTCTAGTAGTCCTCAGTGTCTACTGTTGCCATCTTTATGTCCACGAATACCCAGCAATCCACTTCCAATACTTCTATTCAACACTGTACGGGAGGTTCAGTCTAGTATAATAAGACAAAAGAAAGAAAGAAACAAAAGGCATCCAAATTGAAAAGGAAGGAATAAAACTGTTTTTATCTACAAATAATGTGATCATCTATGTAGGAAATTCTACAGAATCTGTACCAAGAGCACTATAATCAATAGGTGATTCCAGCAAGATTCCAAGATATGAGATCAATACGTAAGCATCAATTGTATTTCTACCTATCAGCAACAAAATGTTGGAAATGGAAATTTAAAAACACTATTTACACTACATAAAAAATGAAACACTCAAGGCTGAATCTGAGCAAAGATGTACAAGGGCTGTAGATGGAAAACTGCAAAATACGGCTGAGAGAAATTAAACACGTAAGTAAGTGTCTGTGGGTTAGAAAACTCAGTTTTATAAGATGTCAGTTTTCCCAAATGGATCTATAGACTTTAGAAATTGATGATTCTAAAATTTATTTCAAAATGCCAAGAACTGGAAGAGCCAAAACTATTTTGAAAAAGTAGAACAAAGTTGAAGGGCTTATGCTGTCTTCAAGACTTATTTAAAGCTACAAAATCAAGAGAATGGAGTAAGGACATCAAGATTGGCAAAGATCAACTGAAAACAACTAGAAATAGAGTCACAAATATATATGGTCAAGGGAATTTTAAAGAAGATGCAAATGCAATTCAGTGGAGAAAGGTGGTTATTTCGGCCGTGCCTGGTGGCTCACGCCTGGTGGCTCTCACCTGTAATCCCAGCACTTTGGGAGGCCAAGGCAGGTGGATCACCTGAGGTCAAAAGTTTGAGACCAGCCTGGCCAACATGGTGAAACCCCATCTCTACTGAAAATACAAAAAATTAGCCAGGCATGGTGGTGGGTGCCTGTAATCTCAGCTACTTGGGAGGCTGAGGCAGGAGATTTGCTTGAACTCAGGAGGCAGAGGTTGCAGTGAGCTGAGATCGTGCCACTGCATTCCAGCCTGGGCAACAAGAGCAAAACTCCATCTCAAAAAAAAAAAAAAAAAAAAAAAAAGGAAAGACAGTTATTTCAAGGAAATGGTGCTGGAATAGTTACTTCATGCGAAAAAAAAAACCTGATATTGATCCATTCTTCCCACCAAAGGCAAAAATCAACTAAAAACTGATCACAGGGCCAGGCGCAGTGGCTCCTGTCAGTAATCCCAACACTTTGGGAGGCCAAGGTATTAATAGGAGGATCGTTTGAGGCCAGGAGTTGGAGGCCAACCTGGGCAACACAGTGAGAATCTGTCTCTACAAAAAATAATAATAGGCCGGGCACGGTGGCTCACGCCTGTAATCCCAGCATTTTGGGAGGCCGAGGCAGGCGGATCACGAGGTTAGGAGATCGAGACCATCCTGGCTAACACGGTGAAACCCCGTCTCTACTAAAAACAAAACAAAAAATTAGCCGGGCGTGGTGGCGGGCGCCTGTAGTCCCAGCTACTCGGGAGGCTGAGGCAGGAGAGTGGCGTGAACCTGGGAGGCGGAGCTTGCAGTGAGCTGAGATCGCGCCACTGCACTCCAGACTGGGTGACAGAGTGAGACTCCGTCTCAAAAAAAAAAAAAAAAAAATAATAATAATAATAATAATAATTAGCCAGGCACGGTGGTACATGCCTGTGGCCCCAACTACTTGGGGGGCTGTAGTAGGAGAATTGCTGAGCAAGGCTGCAGTGAGCTGTGATCGCACCACTGCTCTCCAGCCTAGGTGACAGAGCTAGACCCTGTCTCAAAAATAATAATAATAATAAAAATTTTAAAAATTACAGAAACAACAGTAAAACCTACAACTATAAAGTTTCTAGAATAAAATGTAGGAGAAAATCTATAAATTGGAGTTAGGTAAAAATTCCTTAAACACCAAAACATGATTTTAAAAGTTGATGAAGTGGACTTAATTGAAATGAAGAACTTGTGCTCTTCAAAGGACACCATTGAGAATAAAATGGCAGCCAGGTATTGGGTGGAAAATTTATAGATTACCTATTTGATGAAAAGAACCCTCAGAAAACAATAAGAAAATGAACCCAATTAAAAATGTGCAAAATATCTGAACTGACAGTTCATCGAAGATTTACAGATGGCAAATAGGCATAAGAAATGATGTCTCATATCATTAGTCATCTGGGAAGTGAAAATCGAAATCACAATGAGATACTCCTGTATGCCTGTTAGAACGGCTAAAACTTAAAGACTGACAATACCAGATGCCGCATGGATAGAAAGCAACTGGAATTGCCATACGCTGCTAGAGAAAATGTACTGGTTCAACCACATTGGAATAGAATTTGGCAGTTTCTTAAAACATTAAATGTGAACCTACCATTTAACCTGGCCATTCCACTGGTAGGTATTTATCCAAGAAAAATGAACACATGTCCACACAAAGACTTGCTTATAAATGTTCACAGTAGCTTTATTTACTTATTTTTTTTTTTGAGACGGAGTCTAGCTCTGTCGCCCAGGCTGGAGTGCAGTGGCGCGATCTCAGCTCACTGCAAGCTCCGCCTCCCGGGTTCACGCCATTCTCCTGCCTCAGCCTCCCAAGTAGCTGGGACTACAGGCGCCCGCCACCACGGCCGGCTGATTTTTTGTATATTTAGTAGAGACGGGATTTCACCGTGTTAGCCAGGATGGTCTCCATCTCCTGACCTCGTGATCCGCCCGCCTCAGCCTCCCAAAGTGCTGGGATTACAGGCGTGAGCCACCGCGCCCGGCCACAGTGGCTTATTTATAAGAGTCTCAAAGAGTGAACCACCCAAACGTCCATCAGCAGATGCACTGGATCTGTGGATTAGTTTCTTACTGCCGTGTAACAAGTTAGCACAATGTAATGATGTAAAGCAACATAAATGTACCATCTCCTAGTTCCTAAGGCTCAGGATTCTGGAACATGCTTGTTGGACCTCTGCTCAGGGGCTCACAGGCTGAGATCACGGTGTTGGTCAGGGCTGCCCTCTCATCCTAGCCTGGGCATCCTCTTCCACGCTCACTGGTTGTTGGCAGCATTCGTTTTCTTCTGGCCGTGAGTCTCAGGACCTCAGCTGTGAGAGGCCACCCACTTTCTCCACAACACAGCAGTTTACTTCCTCAAGACCAAGAGCAGAGTCTCTCTCTAGCTTCGTGTCTGTCTGACATTGGGAAGGACCCTGTGCTTTTAAAGGTTTGCCTGATTTAGTCAGGCCCACCTGGGACATCTCCCTTTTGGTTAACTAAAAGTCAACAGACTAGTGACCTTGATCACACGGGAAAATATCCTTTCTGCCATATAAGATGGCTAACAACCTAACAGGGCGGGAATCTTGGGGCCACGTTGGAACCCATACAATGGAAACACAGCTCAGCAATGGACAGGAAGAAGAAGCTCCTGACACCCACAGCACGGATACGTTCTAAACTAATCATGCCGGATGAAAGCGGAGGGACGGATGAGCTCAGCGTCCTCACTGGGGTGAGGCTCTCAAGAGTGTTCACATAGGCTGACACATGTTGTGTTTACTGTACATCAGTCACACAGCCGCTTGAAAAAAGAGGCCTATAAAACCTGGTATTTGATACAGTTATTGGAAAACATTTAAATGTTTTTCAACTGTAATTTTCATGAAATCTATATATATAGATCAATTATTTCTCATGAAAACAACACTGGAACTGATGAATTGTAGGCACAAATGACACGTCAATTTCAAAGACAGCATGAAAAGAGAATGTAAAATAAATAATTAGTAACTTATAGTGACTATACGTAGAAATGATAATAGGTTGGATATACTGGGTTAAATAAAATATCTTCATAGTGTTTTTTTGTTTTTTGTTTTTTTTTTTTGAGATGGAGTCTGGCTCTGTTGCCCAGGCTGGAGTGCAGTGTCGCAATCTCGGCTCACTGCAAGCTCCGCCTCCTGGGTTCACGCCATTCTCCTGCCTCAGCCTCCCGAGTAGCTGGGACTACAGGTGCCCACCACCACGCCCAGCTAATTTTTTGTATTTTTAGTAGAGATGGGGTTTCACCATGTCGGCCAGGCTGGTCTTGAACTCCTGATCTCAAGTGATCCACCCACCTTGGCCTCCCAAAGTGCCAGGATTACAGGCGTGAGCCATCGCGCCCGGCCAGTTTTTTTTGTTGTTGTTTTGTTTTTTGAGACGGTGTCTTGCTCTTTCACCCAGGCCAGAGTGCAGTGGCGCGATCTCGGCTCACTGCAAGCTCCACCTCCCGGGTTCACACCATTCTCCTGCCTCAGCCTCCCGAGTAGCTGGGACTACAGGTGCCCGCCACCGCACCCGGCTAATTTCTTGTATTTTTAGTAGAGACGGGGTTTCACTGTGTTAGCCAGGATGGTCTCGATCTCCTGACCTCGTGATCCGCCTGCCTCGGCCTCCCAAAGTGCTGGGATTACAGGCGTGAGCCACCGTGCCCGGCCTAAAATATCTTCTTAATGTTAATTTCACCTTTTTTAACGTGGCTACTAGAAAATTTCAAATTAGGCCAGGGGCCCTCATAGTATTTTGACAGGACAGAGCTGCTACAGATCTGATTCCCCTGGGGGGAAAGTCAGGGAGGGACATGCAAGGTGACACCCTAAGGATTGAAGAGCCCAGCCAGGACCGGGGGACTCAACAGGACAAGTGTTCCCATCCCCTCACAAACCAACAGAGTGAAGACCAAAAAACAAATAAAAACCAACCAACCAAACAAAAAGAACTGTTACAGAATAAAAGAGACTTAAGAGATACAAAAATCAAATGCAGCACGTGGGACGTGGATCTTTCCAGATTTGAACAAACCAACTGTAAAAAGATATTTTTGAAGTAATGGGGGCATCAGATTACAGACCGGCCATTAGATGATACCAAGAAATTATTATTAATTTTATGAGATGTGTCAACTGGCATGAAGTTTACGCAGACAAAGTCCCCATCAGTCCAGGAGGAATCCACAGTGTGTCTCAGATTTGCTGTAAGCACCTAATAGGGTTGGGGTGGCGATCAAGGAAGACCGGCCGGGCATTGCGGCCCTGGGAGCTGGGAGACGGGTGTGTGGTGATTCACACTCTTCCTATTCTGTATGGTGTTTGTTTGTTTGTTTGTTTTCTGTATGAAAAGGTTGAAAAAAAAAAAAAGAGATTCTTTCTCCCTGAAAGTCCACTGGGCCTGGATGCGGTGTGACCTTGGGGTGTCCTCCCTGCTTGCAGAGAGCAGGACCACTGGGCCTTCCTCCCTGTGTGAGCCGGACGGGGAGGGCAGCCGAACGCGCGAGCTTGGCGCTCCTCTCTCTCCTCATTAAGGTGAGTGGCAACACCACGGATCGCGTTCATTATATGAAATGCGCATCTGTCAACGGCTCTGCTCCTGAAATTGGTTAGAGCGCAATAACCTAATTTGTTCCTCTTTCTTATACTCGCTGTTTGCAAAATAGAAGTACGCTTTCCCCGGCAAACATTTCAAGAACGGTGACATGCAGACACTTTAAGGTCCTTTTCATCATCCAAAGTGCTAATACAATTTGGCCGCACCCATGCGGAAGCATCTGCGCAAACTGCAGAGGCCACGGGGTCTACGCTCAAGTCCCGGGAGCAGCTGTCACACTCTCGCCTCACCCTTTTCAAATCCGCCTTGCGCACGTTCACAAAAACCACTGAGTGTACCATTTTTTATTCTCAAGGGGCTTGTCAGCACAGCCCGCTGGTCGGAAGTGCTAAGCTGGAGAAAAGCCCCACTGTGGTCAGGACACTGCCACTTCCCAGGTGACTGATGGGCGCTACCGTCAGCCACTCCAGTCCTGGAAAGTTAGGGCATTTTACGGGAGTACGTCACAGGAGATCCATCTCCCTACAGGGCTCCGGAGCCTGACCGACCTTCTCCGAGGATTCCGAACCAGCCCTCTCTCCCCAGCCCACGTGCAGTGGCGGTGGCCAGGGCGGTGGAGCGTGCTGAGTGACCTGCTGCAGCTCAGAGCTGCGGCTTCTCCTGGCTTCTCCACCTGCCTTTCTTGTGCTTCAGGTCTGCTGAAGGTTGACAGGAAAATCGGGAAATGGCTGGTGAGGAAGGCCCAGCGCCCTCCTGTACCGAGGCCATGCTTCCCCTCTGCCTGCAGGATGGCGACCAGGGCGGGGCCCAGTGCCTGCTGCAGAGAACAGCCTGGAGTTGCAGGGCCTCTCAAGCTGGGGGCCCTGACCTTGGCTGCTCCCTCCTCTCCTTCTCCAAACACACACGTGGCCTGACTCCTGTTTGACCTTGGGGAGCAGCTGGGGCATCGTGCCCTCCCGCCAGCGTCCCTGGAGCTGACTCCCACTGCAGCCCTCACACAGACATGAGCTCAGGGACACCTTGAGGGACCCTGCAGGGAGGTGCCCTGAGGCCCAGGGGCCTGACTAACTCAGTGGTCTCCAAACTGAGAAGGGCATCTGCAGAGTACGGACCAACAGGAGGTGTATGAGACGACGACACGGGAACTCCTTACAACATGACTGTGAAAATGACTGTGCTATGTAACATTTGCTACATGAAAAGCTTACCTGTAGCGTGCACGTGTCAAAAAGCACAAGGGCCGGGCACGGTGGCTCACGCCTGTAATCCCAGCACTTTGGGAGGCCGAGGCGGGTGCATCACGAGGTCAGGAGATCAAGACCAGCCTGGCGAACATGGTGAAACCCCGTCTCTACTAAAAATACAAAAAAAATTAGCTGGGCGCGGTGGCGGGCGCCTGTAGTCCCAGCTACTCGGGAGGCTGAGGCAGGAGAATGGCGTGAACCCGGGAGGCGGAGCTTGCAGTGAGCCGAGATCACACCACTACTGCACTCCAGCCTGGGCGACAGAGCGAGACTCCGTCTCAAAAAAAAGAAAAAAAAAAAAAGAAAAGCACAACAAACAGATACCTGCAGGCCCGCCGTCCGGTGAGGCAGTGGCATGTCACAATCCCCCGTGCATCCTCCCTGCCCACAGATCCTCCCCGTCCAGGTCCCCACTATCTGGAATATTATTAAAAACACTTATTTATTTATTTTTAAGGTAGGATTGACAAATAAAAATTGTATTTATGGTGTACAATGTGATGTTTTGATGTACGCAGACGCTGTGCGATGGCTCAGTCAAGATAATGGACCTATCACTTTGCATACTTACCATTTTTTTGTCATGTAGAGCTTTTAAAAATTCATTTAAAAACATTTCTTCCTTGACTATTCAATAGAACTCACTAGGGATGCTTCCTGGGCCTGGTATGTTCTGTTTGGGAAGCCTATTAATGATAAATTCAACTTATTTAACAGAAATAGTATTGTTCAGGGCCGGGCTCAGTGGCTCACACCTGTAATCCCGGCACTTTGGGAGGCCAAGGCAGGTGGATCACTTGAGGTCAGGAGTTCAAGACCAGCCTGGCCAACATGGTGAAACCCCATCTCTACCAAAAATATAAAAAATTAGCCAGGTGTCGTGGCGGAAGACTGTAATACCAGCTACTCAGGAGGCTGAGGCAGGAGAATTGCTTGAATCCAGCAGGAGGAGGTTGCAGTGAGCCGAGATCACACCATTGCACTCCAGCCTGGGCAACAGTGAGACTCTGTCTCAAAAAAGAAAAAAAAAGAAAAAAAAAAAAGAAATAGTATTGTTCAGGTTTTGTATTTCTTCTTATGTCAGTCTTGGTAAGTTACGTCTTTTGGGGTGTTTGTTCATTTTTCTCTGAAGTATATCAAATGTATTGGTACGAGGTTCTTCATAAAAATCCCTTGCTATCTGCTATCCTCGCCACCTGGGGAGAACCTGCAGCGATGGCCCTTTCTCCCTCCTGATGTTGATCATTTGTGCTTTCTCTTTTTTTGTCTTGCTTGGTCATGCTGGCGGGCAATCAACCTTATTCATCTTTTGAAACAGGTATTTCTCTGTTTATCAATCTCCATTCTCACAAGATAAAGTTTAAGGAGAACTTGGCACACTCTGCTTGATAGGAAGCACTCAATAAAAATTCTGTATTTCAAAGCAACACCTAGCTGCAGCATTTCTGAGTAACACCAGGGTAACAATATCCAAAGAGCCCGAGGGTTCCCAAGACCTGACTTCACCCCAGAATGTGGAGCTGGGTGTGCTGCCCGAGGCTGGCGTCGGTGAGGCTCCCCTCAGACCTCACCACAGGGCAGGGCTGCTCTCACTGACAGGCGCCTGTGGCCAGCCTGCCTCTGATGAGCCTCCTTGGTCCCTCTGCAGCACGATCCCCTTCCTGGAGAGTCCCATCTGGGGACTGAGATTTGGCGTCAGGAAGCAGGGGTGCATCAGGCACACGGGAGCTCTCTGCCTTGCCTCCCTCAGCCACACACCTGTGAATCACTCAACAATGGCTGGGACAGAGGGGAGCCCGAACCCTGGGACGGCAGGGGGAAGCAATGGCGGGATCCAGGGTGCTGCTCAGGGCAGTGGTGGCCTCTTGACAGTGGACCCAGGCTGGACAGAGAAGGCCTGGGGGTTAACAGAGAGGCACTCCTGGCTGAGCCTAGCTCAGGCCTGAAACCCACGGCTGCTCAGCATGTGTTTATTGGGTGGTCCACGTGATGGACAGATGGGAGGCTGTGAGCAGAGAGAGGCCCACAAAGACAGAGAGTGAGAGCAGTCCACGCTCAAAAATAGCCCAGACTGTCAACCGCACAAACCCCAGACAGCAGGCTGAGCTCAAGGCCCACACTGGCTGCATGGCCCTGGGATGTCCCCTTGTGTCCCTGAGCCTCAGTTTCCCCATCTGTAAATTGATGGCAGCTGCTGTGGGAATTACCTGAGGCCACAGGGACTCAGCCAATGGCACTGTGCAGGTGCTTAAACCGTCACAGAGAGCAGTGGTCATTTTACTATGTATTATTTAGCCAGATTGGCACTTTTGAACACTGTCTGGATTTTAAAACAAACAACTAAACAACTTCCTGACCAAATGACCCAGGTAGATATTTCCTCTGCAGGGGCACTAATTAGCTGATTCCAAGAGTCTGCACTGCGTCCCACGCTTAGCGACATCCAATGCACGTAAAGCAGAAATTCCCCAATTAGGATGCTGGTGTGGGTCCGGAAGGCATTGAACTGGCAACAGCGGTGCCTGAGTTAGCGTATTCCAAATTCATAAACCAAGGTGACCCCTCACATTCATGAGCCTTTCACAGATGAGTCTGTAGGACGCTTCCTGGACAGGCTTATGGGGCGTGGCAGTTTGGGGCACCATTGGTGGCAGGACCCTGGGCAGTAAGGCCCTAAGGAAACTGGAAACAGGCAGGACAAAAGCGCACCCTTCTGCAGGCCCCAGCCCCAGACAGCGCCACCCAGCAGAAGAGGACCAGGACCCCTGCTATGATTTCTGAAAGTCAAAGACACATGTCGGGTGCCCAAGAAGGGAAGAAAGTGAAGGCATACTGGACGCCTGCCTTGGCCAGCTCTGGCGTTGAGAGCCCCATCTGGTGTCTGAGGCCCAGAGCAATCCTAGGACTGTAAGAGTCTCCCAGAGAGGAAGGAGTGTGTCTTAGTCTGTTTCTGCTGCTATAACAAAATACCTGAGGCTGGATAATTTATAAGTAGTAGAAATGTATGCCTCACAGTTCTAGAGGCAGAGAAGTCCAAGATCAAGTTGCTCTCTGCTCCACAGAGGGTGCCTCCCTCCTGCATCTTCACATGGGGGAAGGACAACAGCTCCCTCATACCTCTTTCTTTTATAGGGGAACGAATTCCGTTTTTTAGGGTACTACCCATGAAAGGCTCCACCTCTCAATACAATCACACTGGCAATTACGTTTCAATATATACCAGTCAACAATTATGTTTCAACATATAAATTTGTGGGGGGACATGCTCAGACCATAGCAGATGGGTTCAAACCTAGGCCTCCATGACCTGGGCACCTTCTGCTGCTTCTGGGATCCTTTAGGGGGTCCTGCATGAAATGAGCCTGGCAAGGACCTTTGCCAAGAGTAGGAACCCAGGGAGGCAGAGCTGGGCCCACAGGTCCAGGCCTTGAGGCTGGAGGAGTGAGGAAGTAGGAGAAAGCCCCCAGGAAGGACTCCCAGAGGGTAGAAGGGAAACTGAGGCAGGAGCCCAACAGTACCACAGCACATCCTGGCAAAGCCTACCCAGGCCCCTAGTGGTCTCAGCCAAAAGGACCACACCTCTCCTCCCCAACCCCCACCTGCCACCCCCTGCTGGCAGACATGCAGCCCCCAGGAGTGCAGAGGACGGGAGAGGTGGCAGGGGGTGCCTTTCTCCTAGAGAAGCATCACATTCTGCAATTTTAAAACAATTCTGACTCAAAATGCTTAGCCTGCATTGAGTTTTTAGGAAAGAGTCTGACAAATCCGGATTGTGGGAGAAAATGGACGCAAGCTTTCTACAGGAACGACAAAAAGCATGTGGAAGTCCCGCTGTAGATTAAAGGGATCAAAAAGACACGGCAAACATCCAAGCCTTCATCACTGACCGGATCCTGGATATTAAAATAAGGCCAGAAAGGACACTAAACAACTAACAACTAAACAAACAACTAAACAACTTCCTGACCAAATGACCCGGGGAGATATTTCCTCTGCAGGGGCACTAATTAGCTGATTCCAAGGGTCTGCACTCCGTCCCACGCTTAGCGACATCCACTGCACGTAAAGCAGAAATGCACCAATTAGGATGCTGGTGTGGGACCGGAAGGCCCTGAACTGGTAACAGTGGTGTCAGCTTATTCAAAATTCATAAACCAAGGTGACCTCTGCCTTCCCTCCCTCTCTCCCTCCCTTCCCTTCCCCTCCCCTCCCTCCCTCCCTCCTTCCTTCCTTCTTTCCCGGATGGGATCTTGTTCTGTAGCCTTGAACCCCTGACCTCAAGCGATTCTCCCACCACAGCCTCCCAAAGCGCTGGGACTACAGGTATCAGTGATCTCACCTGGCTCATATTAAATTTCTTGAACGTGCATTCAAATTGTGGTTTCCTAGAAGAATTTCCGTGTTCTAAGGTGATGCTGATGTCTTGATTCCTGTAGCTTACTCTTAAATGGCTTAGTAAAAATAATGAGCAAATGTTCCAAAGTGTTAAAAATCGGGTCGGACGTGGTGGCTCACGCCTGTAATCTCAGCACTTTGGGAGGTTGAGGCGGGTGGATCACAAGGTAAGGAGTTCAAGACCAGCCTGCCCAACATGGTGAAACCCTGTCTCTACTAAAAATACAAAAATTATCTGGGCACGGTGGCATGTGCCTGTAATTCCAGCTACTCAGGAGGCTAAGGCAGGAGAATTGCTTGAACCGGGACCTGGGAGGCGGAGGTTGCAGTGAGCTGAGATTGTGCCACTGCATTCCAGCCTGGGCTACAGAGCTGGAAAAAAAAATTGATGGATTTATTTAATAGATGAAGAGATGAAGAGTACATCATTCTTTTTTTTTTTTTTTTTGAGATAGAGTCCTGCTCTGTCGCCCAGGTTGGAGTGCAGTGGCGCGATCTAGGCTCACTGCAAGCTCCGCCTCCCGGGTTCACGCCATTCTCCTGCCTCAGCCTCCCGAGTAGCCGGGACTACAGGCGCCCGCCACCACGCCAGGCTAATTTTTTTTTGGTATTTTTAGTAGAAACGGGGTTTCACCGTGTTAGCCAGGATGGTCTCGATCTCCTGACCTTGTGATCCGCCCACCTCGGCTTCCCAAAGTGCTGGGATTACAGGCGTGAGCCACCGCGCCCAGCCAAGTACACCATTCTTTATGGAGCTTTTCAAGTAAAAAGGCTGCAGACATCTCTAGGTCCCCAGAGATAATGGTGGCCACCTGAATCCAATCCTCTCCTTGGTAAAAGCCAATATGGACCAAGCAGGAGAGCAAATAAAACCATCCATGCCCATGCCTCCAGCATGAGTAGGAGACAGGGCGCGCGCTCCTCTAACTGGTGTGGGCGAGGAAAGCCAACCTTCAGAACCGGCTCCAGGGCCCACGCTGGCATTGGTGGGGTGAGGGCTCAGGGAGAGGCACTGTGGGAATGAGGAGAGGGGAGCTGGGACCAAGAACTATGAAAAAAAGAAAGTCCTTTAGCCAAGTGTGGTGGCAGGTGCTTGTGGTCTCAGCTACTCGGGAGGCTGAGGTGGGAGGATCACTTGAGCCCAGGAGTTGGAGGCTGCAGTGAGCTGTGATCGCACCAGCGCACTACAGCCTGGGTGACAGAGCGAGACCTTGTCTCTAAATAAAAACAAGAAGAAGAAAGTCCCACCCTACATGGGGAAACAGAGCACGCCTGAGGGTGGGTGTCAGAGCACTGGCGGCTGGGGAACTGAAAGGAGACAGCATTCGAGCCCGGAGGTGGCTGTCTCAGGAAGGCCCTGCTTCTAGGGGCCAGGCATGTGGCCTGGAAGTAGAGGCAGCCTTCGGAGGCTTGCTAGTAACAGACAGGAAGTAGCAAGCCTGGACATTCAAGGACCTACGGAAGCAAAAGTGAATATTGTAAACTCAGAAAACACAAGTCCACTCCCGCCTCCCAAAGCACAAGAAAATGGTGCACTTCATAACAACAACAGGAGAGGGCGCTCTTACACTAAGAAACCTACTACGGTTCCCAAGCCCCCAGCTCCTGCCTGCAGCCATCTGTTACCACCAGTCCAGGCAAATTAAGACATCTCTAAGTTAACAGATAATATCCATACAAAGCCAGTATAAAGAGCCGACACTAATCCTTCCCACAAACCCCCAATTTACAAAGGGAAAAACCACACGCAACACCTCAACTTGAATTACCTAATGCTATGGTCTGGAAGTTTACGTCCCCCAAAATTTATAATGGAAACGTAGTCCCCAGTGTGATGGCATTTGGGGGCGGGGGCCTTTGTGACGAGATTAGGTCTCGAGGGCAGAGCCCTCATCAATGAGATTAGTGCCCTTAGAAAAGAGGATCCAGAGAGCTCCCTTGTCCCTTCCTCCATGTGAGGGCGTGAGGAGAGGAGCCATCTGCGAACCAGGATGCGGCCCTCACCAAATACCTTGATCTTGTACCTCCAGCCTCCAGAACTGTGAGAAATCGTTCTGTTGTTTGTAAACTAACCCAGTTTCTGATACAGATGAACAGATGAAGACACACTAAAAATTCAGACACATGAAGAAAATCCCTACATTATACATTCAAAAACTCAACAGAAATGGACCCAAAAAAAGGTAAATGTGAAATTAGAGTTGCCTGAACTCATGAAAAAAAATGAGGAAAAGACCATCATCTCAGAAATGAAGACTGAATTAGAAAATCTCTTAGGGAGAACAGATTTGACTAAAAGCTTAATAGTGTTCATTAAGGAAATTAATGAAAACAACCATAAAACAAAAATAAAATTCATAGAGAAAGCAATCTAGAATACAGATGAAAAACAGATCTAACACAAACATATTATTGGCATCTCTGAAGAAAAAAGGTAAAATAATGGTACATAATATTTAACACTATAATCTAAGAAAATGTTTTAGAAATAAAAGAAGACTTAAATATGCATATTCAAAGAGTCCCCCACGTACCTAAGATCATTTCCAAGAGAATGCCTAGTAAAATGATTAAACTTTAAAAATAAAGAAAAAAAATTCTTTGGAGCTCCAGAAAAACAATCAAGTCACTTACAAAGGAAAGAAAGGCATGTTTATATCAGACATCTTGTCAACAATGTACAAGCAATACAACCCATAACAACATTTTTAAAAATTTAGGGACAGAAAGTAAGAGGCAAGGATTTTATAACCTGCCAATCTATCCTTCAAGTAGCAAGAGTATAGAAAGCAAGCAAGCAGGAAATAACAGTACTCACAAGTCTTTCTTTTTTTTTTTTTTTTGAGACGGAGTCTCGCTGTCGCCCAGGCTGGAGTGCAGTGGCACAATCTCGGCTCACTGCAAGCTCCGCCTCCCGGGTTCACGCCATTCTCCTGCCTCAGCCTCCCGACTAGCTGGGATTACAGGTGCCCGCCACCACGCCGGGCTAATTTTTTGTATTTTTAGTAGAGACGGGGTTTCACCGTGTTAGCCAGGATGGTCTCGATCTCCTGACCTCGTGATGCACCCGCCTCGGCCTCCCAAAGTGCTGGGATGACAGGTGTGAGCCACCGCGCCTGGCCAGTACTCACAAGTCTTTCTTAAGGAACCAACAGAAGCTAAGCTTTGTCCAGTCAAAGGGTGACTGGGAAAACTTTGGCAAAAATAAATATTAGTAATCAGAATCCAACATCCAACAGGCAGTTTCTATGGTGCTCACCGGCATGAGCTCTACCTCTTGGTGTTCATACATTTGGGACTGGGTGGGGCTTTTGACTTTCCTCTGACCAACAGACTATGGCAAAGATGATAGGATATCACTACTGGGATTATGTTACGTTGTTATATCATGTATGTCACGTTATACTATGTTATGTTTTGTTATGTTATGACTCTCTAGGGACTCTTTGCTGGCTTGATAGAGTAAGCAGTCATGCTGGGGAAGCCCATGTGACAAAGACCTGTGGGTAGTCCCGAGGAACTGGGGGTGACCCTAACAAGTTGAGGTTGGCCTCCAGCCAACATCCAGCCAAAATTTTAAGCTCTAAATATAACTACAAAGAACTAAATACTGCCAACAACCACATGAGTGGAGAAGCAAATCCTTCCCTAGCTGAGTCTCTACATGAGAACCTAGTGCTGGCCACCAGCAGTACTCAGCTAAGCCATGCCCAGGCTCTTGATTCACAGAAATGATGAGCTAATAAGCCATGCGTTGCTTTAAGCCACTAGGTCAATGATAACTTAGTACACAGCAATAGATAACTAATACAATGATATTGAAACATACTACAGGCTGGGCGCGGTGGCTCACGCCTGTAATCCCAGCACTTTGGGAAGCCAAGGTGGGAGGATCACTTGAGGCCAGGAGTTCGAGACCAGCCTGGCCAACATGATGAAACCCCATCTCTACCAAAAATATAACTTAACCGGGCATGGTGGTGCACGCCTGTAATCCCAGCCACTTGGGAGGCTGAGGCAGGAGAGTCGCTTGAACCTGGGAGGCAGAGGTTGGAGTGAGCCGAGATCATGCCACTGCACTCTAGCCTGGGCGACAGAGTGAGACTCTGTCTCAAAAAACAAACAAACAAACAACAACAACAACAACAACAAAGTGAAATCTGGGGGAAGACAAAAGTTATACATAGCTTTTTGACTGTGTGGGGGTCAGCATCCCTAACCTTCTCATTGTTCAAGGGCCAACTGTAATTGCTAAACTATATTCCATCGTACGGATATATATCTTGTTTATTTATTCACCAGTTGATGAACAACTGCGTTGTCTCTACTTTTCTGGCCATTATAAGCAATGCTGTTATGAGCATTTGTGTACAAGTCTTTGTGTGGACATTTCATTGTTTTCATTTCTCTTAGATTCCTGGGAGTGGGACTGTTGGGTCATATGGTATTTTTATGTTTAAATTTTAAAGAAACTGCCAAACTATTTTCTACATCATGTCCAAGTGGGACTTATTTCAGAAATGCAAAGATGGCCTAGTGTTAATATTCATACGTTTTGTGTCTGTTTACCTCAGCCTAGTCCCAGACCTGATATTGGGAAATCCATCACATGACTCATTATGCTACTAGTAATCAGGAGAAATATCAGATCATTATCTACATACATGGCTCTAACAAAGGTCAACACCAATCCTGATTTTTAAAACTGCCAATAAAATAGGAGTCAATGGATATTCCTCTATCTATCTATCTATCTATCTATCTATCTATCTATCTATCTCATCTATCTATCTCTTCCCATCCTAAAGTCAGCATCTTTCTTAATAGGGGAAGTATTAGAGGCCTTTTTACTAAGGTCAGGAACAAGGTAAGGAGGCCCACCACATCCAATATTTAATACTGAATTGGAGGTATTCAGCCAATTTAATTAGATAAAAGAAAGCATAAAAATCAGTAGAGAAGCAGTAAAGCTATTTGAATTTGTAGATGACAGAATGACTAACAGAATCAAAGATATGACTAACAACAGGCCGGTAATGGTGGCTCATGCCTGTAATCCCAGCACTTTGGGAGGCTGAGATGGCAGATCATCTGAAGTCAGGAGTTCGAGATCAGCCTGGCCAAGATGGCAAAACCCCGTCTCTACTAAAAATACAAAAATTAGCCTGACGTGGTGGCAGGCACCTGTAATCTTAGCTACCTGGGAAGCTAAGGCACGAGAATCACTTGAACCTGGAAGGTGGAGGTTGTGGTGAGCAGAGATCACGCTACTGCATTCCAGCCTGGGTGACAGAGCGAGACTCCGTCTCAAAATAAATAAATAAATAAATAAAAACAAAAAAAAAGACTAACAATAAAACTAACAATAAAAATTCAGGTAAGACAGAAAGATATAAAATAACATACACGAAACAGTAGCCAATTCAAAGATATAATTGAAGAAAAAACCATTTATAGTAGCAACACACAAGATAAAAATACTCATGAATAAACTTCATAAGAAATAGGAAAAACATATATGAGGAAAATTTCAAAACACTCCTAGAAGTAGTCTTGACAAACAGAAAGACATCTCTCAGTTTTGGATAAGATAACTCAACTTCATAAAGATGCCAATTATCCTAAAGTTAATATACAAGCCTAATATAAACTTAATACGCTCTCCTTCCCCGCCCGAACAGCAGCAACGTGCTGCAACAGCCAGGAAATCCTTGCAGTAAAAAGCGATGGAAGGAACTTGCCCACCACATGTTAAAACACAACAAGGAGAGTTGAGCCCAATCTCTCTCCTCTATTGCAATGGTCTTGAATAAAGTCCTCTTTGCCATTATTATAATATTATTATTATTATTATTATTATTATTTTGAGACAGAGTCTCACTCTGTTGCCCAGGCTGGAGTGCAGGGGTACAATCTCAGCTCAGCTCACTGCAAAATCTGCCTCCCAGGTTCAGGCGATTCTCATGCCTCAGCCTCCCAAGTAGCTGGGATTACAGGCATGTGCCACCATTCCCGGGTAATTTTTTATATATTTTGGTAGAGACAAGGTTTCACCATGTTGGCCAGGCTGGTTTCAAACTCCTGACCTCAAGTGATCTGCCTGCCTCAGCCTTCCCAAGTGCTGGGATTACAGGCGTGAGCCACTGTGCCAGGCCCTCCTTGCCTTTAAATATATTTTTTCTCTCTCTCTCTCTTTCACCAGTATGTGAACAGATGGAACAGACAGACCTGTGAGACACACTAGAAAGCCCAGAAACAGGCCCAGGGCTTGGATTTTTAGTGTATGAGAAAGGTGCATTTCAGATCACTGGAGGAAAGATGACCTTTTAAATAAATGGCTTTGGGACAGAGTGCCAGACACTTAGAAAAAGATTAAATTGGATGCAGAGACTAAGTACACAACTAAACAAATATTAGAAAACACAGATGATTGCTTTATAATTGGGCTTTTCATAGTTAGAAAAGTCTAAGTATGATTCCAAATCTATGTGAAAAGATGTCCAATTTCATTTATAATAATAGAAATATAAATTTAAAATACACTGAAATACTGTTTCTCAGCTCTCAAACCAGCGAGGCTGTGGGGAAACAGAAGACACTGTGATACATCGGTGGTGGGAATGCAAAACGGTGCTACCTCTTGACAAGGAATTTGGGACTAGCTAACAAAATAAATCCACATTCACTCCTACTTCTAGAAGTGTGTTCTAAATATACACCTTTGCAAACATTAACAATATAGGTGCAAAGTTATCCATTACTCCATTATTTTAAATTTAAAAAGACTTGGAAAAAAACAAAATTGTTCATCCAGAGGACATAATTTGAATAAACAATAATAGTACAGCCACAGAACGAAATACTATGTGAGTGTAAAAAAGAATGAGCCAGGTCTCCATGAACTGGTAAGAAGTTACTTTCAGGACATACTTCTAACTGAAGAAAAACCAGGAGCTGTACGGCTAACTTTTGTGATAATGCTTAAATGACTTGTTTTGCAGAAAGAGACACAGGAAGGATAAACCAGAAAATATTTTAAATGGCTCCCAATGGTGTGGGAACAAGGAAGAAGATGCAGGGGTGGGACTGAGACCTTTAAGGATAGCTTTTTAATAGTTCTGACCTTTAAACCATGTGTTTTACGTATTCAAAAAATAAAATTACATCCTAAAGTCTAAAGGAAAAAAAGCTCCAAATTGAATGCAAGTAGAAACACACGAAGCTAACAGTGTGTCCGACTGATAACGTCACCACACAGCACTCTGCCTGCACACCCGTGGAAATCCCGATGCTGACCTAGCAGGTTTTGGTTGGCTTCGGTGTGGATGCAGTCATTCTGAAACTCTTTCGGGGTGCATTGTGGAGCTAAGTAAATGATGAAATATATTCATGTTTGGGGGAATAAGGTTCTCACTGCAGGAGAAAGGGAAAGGAAATATTAATTTTTAGTAAAAAAGGGGCCTTGGCTTGGTCCACTGACAAGGCCTAGAGGCGGCGAGTGCACGCCCCACACTAAGCCCGGGTCCCACGCAAGGAACCAAGGCCCCTTGGACAAATGGCTGACTCTGGATCTGGGTCCAGGTACAAGTGAGAGCTGGAACCACCTCAGAGACTGGCGGGGACATGGCAGGAGGGTGCAGACCCCGGCCTGAAAAGGGCCAGGTCCCGGGCAGGGCCCCACCTCTACCTGGTGGCCTGCGGGCTCCCCCTCGCCAGTCCCGCCCTGGGCTCCGCAGCCCGTCCCTCTCTCGCCTGCCCTCCCTCTCCTGCCCCGGCAGTGCGCCCACCCGCCGCCACGGGCAGCCTTTCGACGCCCAACCTGCAAACCGCCTGGGGGCTGCCCAGGACGTCCAGACCCTGTAGCGTCTCAGCTCCAGCTCCGCCCCCTCCTGCCCTCAGGGATCTCACCCGCGCTGTTCCCCCGGGCTACCCGTCCATCACAGGCTGGGCTCCCCGCTCAGGACAGCCTCCCTGACCAGACGAAGGCTCCGCCGCGCCCTGGTCTCCCTCTGCCCCAGTCACCCTACTGCATGTTCTTCCCAGCACGCATAAGATCTTGGCCATGTCCTTGCTTTTGCCTTTGATTTCTTGTTTGGTGTCCCCTCCCACACCAGCTAGTGAGCACTTACGGGGGCAGGCAGCAGGCGGCACACAGTAGGCGCTCAATGAATGTGGCCAGTGAGTGGACAACCCTAGCCCCCCTCCACCGGTCGCCTGCACAGTGGCTGCACTATGGCTGTTGGAGCCAGTCTTACCAGAGGTGGGACCCCAGCGTTGCCACTCCATGGTCCCGCCCCTCTCTAAACCTCAGTTACTCCACCTGCCTGGCAGGCAGAGCTTCCCAGGACTCTTCTCAGGCTCCCGGGGCTCAGAACTTCTGTCTCTCCCACAGCCCCAGGAGGCAGGAGATACGGGCCCGGAAGAGCTCCACCAGCACCCCAACTTCCCAGCTCTGTCTTTCCCACAGTTTCCCACGCCCACGCTGAGCATGGGGCGGCGTCGCCAGCACCCTTCCCCAAGTCCCCCCAAGCATCGCTTTCCCAATCTAAATACAATGAGTGGACCAGGTGGTCCCTTGATGCCGTCCGCTGTCACTGCGTGAGGGACACACCCAGGACTCCCAGCAGACCCCACTGTTCTCGCAGGCCCTCTGATAGTGGCGCTGGTCCTTTCCTCAAATCCGATCCCATCCTCAAGGGTGACAGCACCCTCTTCCCCCAGGCGCAAGGCCCTTTCCCTTCTGCACGTGCACCGGCAGGTCTGCTTTCCCGTCCCCATTTCATAGACGGGGAAACTGAGGTCCGGTGCGGGTGGAGGCTTTGGTCTAGGCTGGCTCTTCCTGCCACTCTAGCGGCTGAAAGAAGCTTGCTCCTCGCGCCCAGCAGGGGCTGGCGGCGCGCGGCAGAGCTGGGTCTCCCGCCAGGTGGCCGGGGGTGTGCCCTCAGGGTACCCTACCCGCTACCCCCGCGCCTCCAGTCCCGGCGGCCGCGCGGACCCCGCCCCTGCTGACCCCGGCGCACGCTCCCGCGCCGCGCGCAGCCTCCCGCCTCCCGCCGACCCCGCCGCGCCGCCGGCAGCCCTCCCCAGCCCCCGCGAGCCCGCGCCCTTGCCCGCACCGCCAGGTGTCCCTCGGCCGCGCACCACTCACCGGCTCCCGGCGCGCCGGAACTCCGGGCCCGGCCCATGGGCAGCTCCCGGTGCGAGCCTCGGCGCCGCGGACCGGGGCGCCGCCCGCCGCCGCCGCCGCCGCCGCCGCCGCCGCCGCCGCCGCCCGACCGCCCGGCTCCCAGCGCAGCCCGCACGAGCGCCTGGCGGCGGCCCCGGAGCAACGCGGCGCTGCGCCCCCTCGTGGCACTCAGGCAGCGCGGAGCGGGCGGGGCGCGGGGGTGGAGCTGCGGGAGCCCGCGGGCGGCGCTGCACACCAGGGCCCTCCGTGCCCCGGCCGCGGAGCCAAGCGTCCCGCCCTGCGTTCAGGCCTCCGCGGCGGCTGGCCCCCCGCGCCAGGACCACCCGCTCGGGCCGTCAGACGCTGCCCTCCCGCGCGCGGACCCTGGCGGACTCTGCGCCCCAGCTGCCCCAGCCTACACCTCACCTGGTGGGCCTCTGGCGCCCCAAAACCCAGTTCACCCTCTCTCCTCAAGACTGGGCCCGGCCCGGTTCTCTGGACTGGCCACCTAGGTTGTCTGTGTCCCCCAATGGGACATCCCTGGGTGGACACCCCCCCTCCCCAACCTTCTCGGCGCTCTCCCGTGGCCCCCAGGGAGGGTGGACACCACTTTGAAGACACCGGGGTTCTGGGAGGATGGCGATGCATGATTTCACTTTTAGAAAGGGAGAGGGGCTCTAACAGGATCCAGTGGCCTCCTTGAACTGGGTCTTCAGTGAAAAGTTCCCTGGTTGGTCCCAGCATAGAGGTCAGGACACCTGTCCTCCTGTGTCCGCAGTTTGTCCCTTCCGCTGGGTTCCTGGTCTGGCTGACTTCAAGAATGAGCCAGGGACCTTGGCAGTGAGTGTTACAGCTCTTAAAGGTGGTGCGACGGTGAAACCCTGTCTGTACTAAAAATACAAAAAAATTAGCCAGGTTTGGTGGTGGGCGCTTGTGGTCCCAGCTATTCGGGAGGCTGAGGCAGGAGAAGGGCGTGAACCCGGGGAGGTGGAGCTTGCAGTGAGCAGAGATTGCACCACTGCACTGTAGCCTGGGCGACAGAGCAAGACTCCATCTCAAAAAAAAAAAAAAAGAAAAGAAAAGAAAAAGGTGGTGCAGACCCAAAGAGTGCGTAGCAGCAAAATGTCTTGTGAAGAGCAAGAGAACAAAGCTTCCACAGCAGGGAAAAAGACCACAGCCGGTCGCCGCTGTTGCTGGCTGGCGAGGGGTGGGCGGGCAGCTTTTATTCCCTTATTTGTCCCCACCCATGTCCTGCTGATTGGTCCGTTTCACGGAGTGCTGATTGGTGCGTTTTTACAGAGTGCTGATTGGTGCATTTACAATCCTCTAGCTAGCCAGAAAAGTTCTCCAAGTCCCCACCCGACACGGAAGTTCCAGCTGCCTTCACCTCACTCTGCTTTAGTCAGGACCTGCCTGATGAGATGTGGCCCAAAACTCAACCCAACCAGCTTGAGCAAAAAGCTGGTTTGTGGATCATAAAAAGCCAAGGTTTACTGCTTAGAGGAATGGCTAGATCCAGGTACTTAACCTATGTGCATAGAAACTGGCCTCCCCTATCTCCCAGTCTTTCTGTGGCAGAATGGCCCTGGGTTGACACCTCAGAGAGGGCACAGCTGCCTGATAGTTGCAAGGACAGCCTGCGGCTGCCACACACAGGCTCCGAGGAGCTGAGCTCAGGCCATTTCCAAAGACCTAGGGAGCAGGAATAGCAGGCCTGGGTGTCGTCTCACTAGAGCTGAGGCAGAGTTAGTCCTGTGTCAGCTTTGAGGATGGAGTAAGGTGCTGTTCCAAGCTTCCGTGAAGGCTGTTCCTGGAAGAATGGACAGGTTAAGAACAACAGTCCAGCCCATTTCTTGAACAGTTAGGGAAACTGAGTCCTGGAGAGAGCAGGCAGCTGCCTAGGGCATACAGATGTATTAGAATGAATGTGGGCCAGGTAGCTAGGCAGGGAGACAGCAGGGCTGGGGCCAGGGCCAGGGCCAGAGGCTGGCCCTAGGGAGGGTGACATCTGAGACCAAGGGTCAGGTGTGGGGAAAGGGAGGAGGAACAGAGGCAGGCACTTGGTCAGGGGTGAGCAGTGTGCTCCCAGCAGATAGACAGATGCGCCTCAGGGTGCAGGCACTGGGCCCTCCCTGCATCTTCTCCGATTATCACCCTATGCCCCTAAGCCTCAGGTCCAGTCCCAGGGTGTCGCCTGGAGGAAGCCAGGAGTCTAGGAGGAGAGGCCGCAAGAGGCACCTCAGAAGAGCTGACCCACTCAGCTGTGTTGTTCTGGGGTCTGGGCAGCACTGAGCGGCCCTCCTAACCAAGTGCAGGTCAGGGTGGTGAGGCCAGTCTTTCCCCAGCTCACCCTTGCTCTGTGAGCAAAGGCTGCTGTCCCCTGATAAAGAACTTTCTCCAGCAAGTGGCTGGGGCCACTGAAGCATGATTGCCCTGCTGGGAGCAGGGTAGGGGATGCTTGGATGAGGCCAGGGCAACTGGAACATGGGTGTGGACTAGCTCATGGCCACAGCTCCGTGTCCCACAGGGGTGAGGGTGGCAGAGCTTTGCTCTGGGACAAAGGAGAAGACCGTGTCCCCTGAGGTCTCCTGCGTCCTCTCCCTGCCAGACCCATCGCTGCCGAGAGTTGGGCCTGTGCTGAGGAAGACGCATGAGCTGCAGTCGCGGCTCATGCAACACCAGGAAGGTTTTTGAGCCTCGCGGCCAGCGTGGAGTTCTGCCCTGAGCCTCCAGCTTTGTGGGACCCTGGCTGCAGGTGCCACCACTGGGCCCTGGGAGGTATCTGCTCCCGCCCCCTCATAGCCCACCCAGGAGTGCCCTCTAGCAAGGAACCTCTCCTGCCCAGCCCCTACCCTGCCCACCCAACTTCTCACTCCAGAACGTGCCCCGGGGCTAATCCCTGAGTGAGGGCATTGGGACAGAGGGTGAGCCATCCCTAGGGCCGTCAACTCAGTCTCCCCTCACCCCACCACTGCCCTGAGACATCTATTGGGTGGACACTTACCTAGGGCCTATGTGTGCCGGGCACCATGCTGGGTGCTGGGAATATAGCAGAGAGCCCGACATGGGGTTCCTGCCCCCTGGAACTCATGGTTTAGAGAAGGGAGGCTGAAAACTAACCATACAAACAAAAGAGTAAAAACAATCATTTCGGAGAGCGCCGAGCGCCATGAAGGAAGCCATACTGGGGAGGTGGTTGAGTGCGGTGGGGCTGCTTTAGAAGGGAGGGCCCAGGAAGGGCCTCTCCAGGCACATCAGACAAGGCACTGGCCATACAGGGTCTGGGAAAAGCACCGTGGGCAGAGAGAATAGCAAGGGCGAGGCCCTGTGGCTGGCATGGACTTTGCATTGTTTTTGCAAAAAAGAGGCTGGAGCCAAGGTGGAAGGGAACAGGGCCAGGCAGGGTGTCCAGGTGGGCAAGGAGCTGGATCCTGTCCTCTGGGTGTCGACACAGGGGCAGGTGTGGCTGCAGCTCTGCCAGCAGCACCCCCAGCAGGAGGGGGTGGTGCTGTCCCCAGATGTAGGGGTCCTGACACCCATGAGGCCTTTCCCAGCACCTTCAGCCCCTGCGTAGCTGCCCCTGGCCTGGATGGCACATCCTGCACACGTGTGACTCTGGGAGACCTGAGTGTGCCCCACCAACGCAGCACTGGGTTAGTGGGGCTGGAGTCCTTGTTCACTGGGTGTGGCCACGAGGGACAGGCAGCAGGCCCACGAGGAGTTGGCAGGCAGGGGAGAGCTGATGAGTACAGACCTGGGCAGGGGGCAGGGAATGGGGCAGACCTGAGGGCTGTTTCTGGGGGAGAAGCCACAGGACTGGATGATGGGAGATAGGAGAATGTGTGAGAAGTGACAGCGATGGCAGGGGTCCTGGCAGGATGAATGGGGTACCTTTCCCAGGAGGGCGAGGAGCCCCTTCACAGCAGACAGCACCTGCTGGGACTGTGGGGCCAGGGGCATGTGGAGGAGGTCTGGAGGCAGCGGGGCCTGCGGGTGCCTGCCTGGTGCGGGTCCTCAGGGAGGAAGGAAGGACAGCACGGGCTCCAGCAGCTGCAGGCGCTTACGCAGAGCAGGAGCCTGTGAGGCCCTGCAGTACGTCTGCCCGGGATGCTTGGCACAGCCACAGCACGTGACTCAGGGAAGGGGCACCGGGCAAGGCTGCTGAGCAAGTTCACCAATAAAATCAGGAAACACTGAGGACAGAACTTTGGGCTCTGGCCAAAGCATTTTATTAGCCGACCCGTAACTCGTCCATTCTTGGTCTGGTGAAAACCCTCCAAAGTTACTGCAAGGGCAGAGCTCCAGGAGAAGTCATCCTATAGTCAGCCACGGGAGGGGGCCACATTTAATGATCCTTTACAGTCCAGGGCTGCCAACCCACTGAGCCTGGGCTGGGAGGAGCAAGAGAGAGGGTGTGTGTGTGTATATGGATTTGCACATGTGTGCATGCATGGTATATGCAGTATGTGTATGTGCACTTGTGTGAATGTGTGGTGTGTTCTATGCATGTGTATGCAGCACATGTGTGTAATGTGTGTGTGTTGTATGCTTGTGTATGTAGCGCTGTTTTGTGCACGTGTGTGTATATATGTGATGCTGTGTGCATGAGTGTGTGGTATATGCATGTGTGTGTTGTCTGCTATGCACATGTGTGTGTGCTGTGTGCATGTTGGTGCTGCGTGCATGTATGTATGTTGTGTGCATGTGCGTGGTGTATGTATGTGTTGTGTGCATGTGTGCTCTGCCTATGTGTGTGGTGCCATGTGCATTCTTGTGCTCTATGCATGTGTGTGGTGCTGTGCATGTGTGTGCTGTGTGCATGTGGGTGTGCTGTATGTGTGGTACTGTGTGCCTATGTGCTGTGTGCATGTGTGTGGTGTATGCATGTGTGTGGTGTATGTTTTATGCTGTGTGCCTGTGTGCTGTGTGCATGTGTGTGGTGTATGTTTTATGCTGTGTGCATGCATGTGCTGTGTGCATGTGTGTGTTGTGTGCATGTGTGTGTAGCGTATGCATGTGGTGTGCTGTGCATGTGTGTGCTATATGCATGTGTGTGCTGTATTCATGTGTGGGCGGTTTGTGCATGTGTGTGTGTGCTGTGTGCATATATGTGGTGCTGTGTGCATATGGTGTGCTGTGTGCATGTGTGTGTTGTATGCACGTGTCGTATGCACGTGTGTGGAGGGTAAGTGTGGGTCTGATCCCAATCTGGACTGGCCCAAAGATGAAGGAAAGCATCACAGATGGGATCCCCTGGGAGCAGAGGTAGAGATGTGGGTGCAGGTTGTTTATGTGGGGGGGGGATCCCAGGTGACCAGCCTGGTGGAGCCCCTTTGGGGAACTGCAGGAAGCATCTCGGAATTTCTCCTGCTGGGCAGAGGATTTCCCCCACGTCTCCTATGCTTTCAGGTTGCTGCTGCATGAAGGCTGAGGAGAGTTCCGGGGCTTAAGAAACATTCCAGAGGCAGAAATGCAGGAGCTGGAGGTGGTCACTGCAAGGTTCCAGCATAGAGCCATTGCTCACTGTGCTGAGCGCAGGTGGAGAGCTCGTGGTGCAGGTGCAAACCTTGCCAGCTGCAGTGCACCCCTCGGAACACTCAAGATTCCCCCAGGTCCCGCATTAAGTCCACGAGGTCACCTCCCTCCCCTACCACCCTGCTAGGGTCCCTTCACCCATAGGCAGTAGGTGGCTTATCCAGGGGTGACCTGCAGTGTTGGAGCACTGGTAACCAGGCTCTCCTTGGGCCATGCCCATCTATGTTTATAATAGGGCATGGAAATGAGAGGGGCCTGTGGCTCTTCTGAGTCCTTGACATCATCCCCTCACCCAGTCATGCCTCACCAGGAGGAGGCAGGCTGGGCACCCCTGCTGGCAGGGACTCCTGGCCCCACCTGCTGAATCACTGGCATGAGCAGTCCCAAGTGGCCTGGAGCATGGGTTTAGGTTTGGGGAGTCCTCCTGGGTCCTGGGGAAAGCGTCCAGCAGAGTGAAATCTGCAGGCACGGGAAGCACCTCCCGAGGGTCTTCAACCCCAAAGCTTGGGGGAACTTGTGACTCGATGGGGCCGTCAGGTTGTAGCTGAGGGCTGGGGATGTAACCCTCCTCTTCCCTACAGAGTACCCCAGGGCACCTGTCACACTCGAGGTTTCATCTCTCCCGGGCTATCAAATGTCAGCATGTGTGGAATCACCTGGAATGCCTAGGAAAAGCCAGCAACCCACGGCTCGGGTGTGGGGTTGGGGTCTGGGCGGCCCTGCTCTCGGTATCTGGAACAAGTGGCCCAGGTGAAGCTGATGCAAGCCGAAGATGGGCAAACTCCAGAAATGCTGGTGTAGAGGGATCCAGGCTTACCATCCCCATCTGTGGTAGGCAGAATAACGACCTCTGAAGAAGACCACTTCTTAATCCCCAGAACCTGTGGATATGTTGCCTTGGGTGCCCGAAGGGACCTGGCAGGTGGAATTAGATGAATCTTGAGATGGTGAGATGATCCTGGATTATCCCGGTGAGCCCAGCGTAATCACAGGGGTCCTTACACGTGGAAGAGGGAGGCAGAAGGCAATCAGGCAGGCGGCGATGGGAGCGGGGTCTGGGAGATGCTGCCCTTCCGGCTTTGGAGGAAGGGGCCATGAGCAGAGGAATGTGGGTGGCTGCAAAATGCCAAGAAACAGATTCTCCCCAAGGGCCTCCAGAAGGAACCAGCCCTGCTAACACCTTGCTTTCAGCCCACTAAGACCCACGCTGGACTTCTGACCCACAGAACTGTGCTGCTTTGAGCCACTACGTTGGTGGTAATTTGCGACAGCAGCAATAGGAAAGGAAGACACCATCCCACAAGAGAGGCTGGGAAAATCGGGTGACTCGCGCAGGCGATGCCCAAGCCTCCCACATCTCTCACTGGCTGCCCCGTGTGGGTGGGAGCCTATGGGACTGGGCTTGGGCTATTCCCCTCCCCAGAGCCAACAGCCTGGCTGGGCAGAGTGGTCGTGAAGCAGTGCTGGCCTCCCCCAGGAGCTGGCTTAAGGCGCATGTCCCCTAGGCCCCTGCCCAGACTTCTGACTCAGAGGGCTCGGGCAGGGCTGGGGAATCCGAGTCTGTTAGCAGGTGCTCCAGTGGTCCTGAGCCCAGCCAAGTTAGGGAGCCATTGCCTCAACTGTTTCCTTCCCGTACATTATGGCTGGGCCTGTCGCTTTTCCCAGAGGGCCCGCAGACAACCGGAACGTGCCACGGGCTGTCGGGGAGCCAGGGTGCCCATGTCCTTGTGGGAAGTTGCCAGGGGTGCCCGTGTTTGCTCATTCAGCACATGTGAATCAGGCACCTTGGCGAACAGGCTGGACACCTGGGCACACGTGTGGCAAAGTTTTTAGGTTCACAGGACAGAAAACCTCCAAGCAAGAGTGAGCGGCTGCCGTGAACGTCGGCAGGAGGTGCTGCAGGGAGCTGTGGCGAACGTGGTGAGGGTTTCTGGTGGGCCACATGTGCGCCGTGTGCGAAGCACTGGCGGGGGCCGGGGAGGAGACCCTGCAGGACTGCAGAATCCCCAGGCTGAACAGAGCCCCTGCAGGGCTGCGACCTGGGCAGGTGTGCGGGCCCTTAGCCTGTCACCATCTGAAAGTTCTTAGTAATTTGATCTTTGAATTTGTGGTTGCTAAGTCCACTGGGACCACGGAGTATGCTTGTGAGGAAACACATTCAGGCTGCGTGTCCACGCGACTCCTTGCTTGCCCCATTCACACTTAGGGCTCAGGACGCCCCTGTAGGCAGGGTGCTGGTGGGACGGCTGTTTCAGGCCGCCCAGACTCAGGCAGGTTCCAGGTAGGCACAGTACTGGACAACTGAGTCAGCGGGGCACTGACAGCCCCAGGGCCATGCTTCCTGTTCTAAGCAGAACTTGCGTCAGACAGAGAGAAGGCAATGGTGTCCTAAAAACCACGAATGGCCACGTGACCTGATCATAGCCTTTCTTTCTTTTTTTTTTCCCCCTTCCCAACTTTTATTTAGATTCGGGGGTATAGTGCGAGTTTGCTACACGGATAAATAGTATGTCGTGGGGGTTTGGTGTGCACTTTATTTCATCACTCAGGTATTAAACACAGTACCTGATAGTTTTTTTTAAATTTTCACCCTTTTCCCAGCCTCCACCCTCAAGTAGGCCCCAGCGTCTAGTGTTCCCTTCTTGGTGTCCAAATGTACTCAGTGTTCAGCTCCCACTTATGAGAACATGTTGGCCGGGCACGGTGGCTCACGCCTGTAATCCCAGCACTTTGGAAGGCCGAGGCGGGTGGATCACGAGGTCAGGAGTTCGAGACCAGCATGGCCAACATGGTGAAACCCCATTTCTACTAAAAATACAAAAAAATTATCTAGGCATACTGGCAGGCACCTGTAATCCCAGCTACTTGGGAGGCCGAGGCAGGAGAATTGCTTGAACCCAGGAGGCAGAGGTTGCAGTAAGCTGAGATTGTGCCACTGCACTCCAGCCTGGGCAATAAAGTGAGACTCCATCTCAAAAAATAAAAATAAAGGCCAGGCGCGGTGGCTCACGCCTGTAATCCCAGCACTTTGGGAGGCGGAGGTGGGTGGATCACGAGGTCATGAGATCAAGACCATCCTGGCTAACACGGTGAAACCCCGTCTCTACTAAAAATACAAAACATTAGCCGGGCGTGGTGGCGGGCACCTGTAGTCCCAGCTACTTGGAGAGGCTGAGGCAGGAGAATGGCGTGAACCCAGGAGGTGGAGCTTGCAGTGAGCGGAGATCACATCACTGCACTCCAGCCTGGGTGACAGAGCAAGACTCCGTCTCAAAAAAGTAAATAAATAAAATAAATAAAATAAAATAAAAATAAATGAGAACGTGTGGTATTTGGTTTTCTATTCCTGCATTCATTCACTTAGGATAATGGCCTCCAGCTGCATCCATGTTGCTGCAAAGGGCATGATTTAGTTCTTTTTTATGGCTGTGTAGTATTCCATGGTGTACCACATTTTATTTATCCAATCTGCCATCAATGGGCACCTATGTTGATTCCGTGCCTTTGCTATTGTGAACAGTCCTGTGTTGAACATACGCATGCATGTATCTTTTGGTAGAATGATTTATTTTCCTCTGGGTATGTAACCAGTAAAGGATTGCTGGGTCAAATGGCACTTCACCTCTTAGTTGAGAAATATCCAAAATGATTTCCGCAGTGGCCAAACTACTTTACATTTCCACCCACGGTGTATAAGCATTCCCTTTTATCTGCAAGCTCGCCAGGATCTGTTATTTTTGGTAATAGCCATTCCTGACTTGTGTGAGATGGTATCTCATTGTGGTTTTGCTTTGCATTTCTCTAACAGTTAGTGATGTTGAGCATTTTTTCATATAGATGTTGGCCATCTGTATGTCTTCTTTTGAGAAGTGTCTGTTCATATCCTTTGCCCATTTTTTAATGGGGTTGTGTTCTCCTTGTTAATTTGTTTAAGTTCCTTATAGAATCTGGATATTAGACCTTTGTCAGATGCATATATTTTCTTCCATTCTGCATGTTTTCTGTTTACCCTATTGATAGTTTCTTTTGCTGTGCAGAAGCTCTTTAATTAGGTCCTGCTTGTCAATCTTTGTTGCAATTGCTTTTGGAGTCTTTGTCATAAAATCTTTGCCAGAGCCAATGTCCAGAATGGTACAACCTAGATTTTCTTTTATAGTTTTAGGTTTTACATTTAAGTCTTTAATCTATCTTGAGTTGATTTTTGTATATGACATAAGAAAGGGGTCTGCTTTTAATCTTCTGCATATGGTTAGCCAGCTATCCCAGTGCCATTTATTGAAGAGGGAATCATTTCCTCATTGCTTGTTATTGTCAGCTTTGTCGAAGATCAGATGGTTGTATTTCTGGGTTCTCTAACCTGTTCCATTGGCCTATATGTCTGTTTCTATAGCAACACCATGCTGTTTTGGCTACTGTAGCCCTGCAGTATAGTTTGAAGTTAGGTGGTGTGCCACCTCTGGCTTTATTCTTTTTGCTTAGGATTGCTTTGGCTATTTGGGCTCTTTTTTGGTTCCATATGAATTTTAGAATAGTTTTTTCCAATTCTATGAAAAATGTCATTGGTAGTTTGACAGGAATAGCACTGAATCTGTAAATTGCTTTGGATAGTATGGCCATTTTAACGATATTGATTCTTCTATCCATAAACATGTTGTTTTGTGTCATCTCTGACTTCTTTGGGCAGTGGTTTGTGATTATCACTGTAAAGAACTCTCACCTCCCTGGTTAGCTATACTCTTAGATATTTTATTCTTTTTGTGGCTATGTGAATGAGATTGTATTCTTGATTTGGCCCTCAGCTTGGATGTTATTGGTGTAAATAAATGCTATTTATTTTTGTACATTGATTTTGTATCCTGAAATTTTGCTGAAGTTGTTTATCAGATCCAGGAGCCTTTGGGCAGAGAATAAGAGGTGTTCTAGGTATAGAATCATCTTCTGAGAAAAGAGATAATCTGATTTCCTCTTTTCTTATTTGGATGCTTTTTCTTTCTTTCTCTTGCCTGATTGCTCCGGCTAGGACTTCCAATACTACGTTGAAAAGGAGTGGTGAGAGAGGGCATCCTTGTACTGTACCAGTTTTCAAGGAGAATACTTCCAGCTCTTGTCCATTTAATACGATGTTGGCTGTGGGTTTATCATATTTGGCTCTTATTGAGGTATGCTCCTTTGATGCCTAGTTTGTTAAGGGTTTTTTACATGAAGGGATGTTGAATTTTACCAAAAGCCTTTTCTGCATCTCTTGAGATGATCATGTGGCTCTTCTTTTTAGTTCTGTTTATGTGATAAATTACATTTATTGAGTTGTGTATGTTGAACCAACCTTGCATCTCAGGGATAAAGTCTACTTGATCAAGGTGGATTAGATTTTTGATATGCTGCTGGATTTGGTTTGCAAGTATTTTGTTGAGAATTTTTGCATCTATGTTCGTCAGGGACATTGGCTTGAAGTTTTCTTTTTTCATGTGTGTCTCTGCCAGGTTTTGGTATCAGAATGAGGCTGGCCTCATAGAATGAGTTAGGGAGGAGTCCCTTTCTTGGCCTTGATTTTTTGGAATAGTTTCAGCAGGATTAGTACAAGTTATTCTATATGTCTGGTAGAATTTGGCTGTGAATCTGTCTGGTCCAGGGATTTTTCTGCTTGGTGGGTGTTTTATTACTGATTCAATTTTGGAACTCATTACTTGTCTGTTCAGGGTTTCCATTTCTTCCCGATCATAGCCTTTCTCACTCGGGTTGCTTCCCTGTATCAGTCATTCACAGAGCCAAAAATAGTGACAGAAAAGGAAAGGGGAAGATGGGGCCAGTCCTTCCTTTCCCTGTCAGCCTTCCGCACTCATCAGTAAGCTGCAGGTGGAGAGAGTAGGTAGAATGTGTATAGGTCAAAAAGTGACAGTCATACCTCGCTTAACACCGGAGACACATTCTGAGAAATGTGTTAGGTGATGTTGTCATTGTGAGAACTTCAGGTTGTACTCACACAAACCCAGATGGCACAGCACCTAGGCTGTATGGCAAAGCCTATTGCTCCTGGGCCACAAACCTGTACAGCAAGTTGCTGTACTGAATGCTGTAGGCAATGGTAACACAGTGCTAAGTATTTTTGTATCTAAACAAAATATATGCGTTTGTTGATTGAGATGGGATTTCACTCTGTTGCCCAGGCTGGAGTTCAGTGGCACGACCACAGCTCACTGCAGCCTCCAACTTCTGGGCTTAGGAGATCCTCCCACCTCAGCCTCCTGAGTAGCTGAGACCACAGATGCATGCCACCACACCCAACTAATTGTTTCATTTTTTGTAGAGATGGGGTCTCACTATGTCAATCAGGCTCGTCTTGAACTCTTGGCCTCAAGCGATCCTCCCACCTCAGCCTCCCAAAGTGTTAGGATTATAGGCATAAGCCGCCACACCTGGCCTCAAAACATGGAAAAGGTAGAATACAGTATTATAATCTTATGGGACCTCTGTCTTACATGGTCCGCGGTAGACTGAAAGGCCATTATATGGCGCGTGACTGTGGTTGAGTTGGCCTTATGCAGAGTTGCCCTGGTAAGAATGAAATCCTTATGCATGTATAAGCTACACAAGACAAATTGTGTAATTTCAGTGATTCTGTATAGGCATTATTTTATATTTGCATTTAAAATAAGCATTGAACAATGTAAAAACCAACAGTAATGTTCATCTTACATTTTAATGATAACCTCATATTTTATTTACTTAGAATAACATTAAATGGCACATAAAAATGCCAGGACAAGGGGAGAGAGAGTGAGCCAGAAAGGAAAAAAGTGCTTTAACGCTAATAGCACGATTTCCCTGATTTTCAAGCCCCACCTTTTCATTTCGCTCTGGCCCCTAAATGTTACGTAACCAGCCCTGGGATGAAGCGAGAAGTGGCTTTGCCTGGATTTCAGGAACTGCCCAGGGAGTTGGCCGGGTGCTCACACCTGTAATCCCAGCACTTTGGGAGGCTGAGGCGGGGGGATCACCTGAGGTCAGGAGTTCGAGACCAGCCTGGCCAACATGACGAAACTCCGTCTCTACTAAAAATACAAAAATTAGCCGGCCTTGGTGGCAGGTGCCTGTATTCCCAGCTACACGGGAGGCTGAGGCAGGAGAATCGCTTGAACCCAGGAGGTGGAGGTTCCAGTGAGTCGAGATTGCGCCATTGCACTCCAGCCTGGGGAACAAGAGCGAGGCTTCGTCTCCAAAAAGAAAAAAAAGAACTGCCCAGGGAGATCACGGAGGCAGGCTGTGAGGGGATGTTGTGAGCACCCCAACTGCGTTCCATTCGAGAACAAGACATGTGTAAACACAGGCCAGGCCAGACAGCCTGATGCTTTCCTACAAGAGAGCCATGGGGTGGATGACCTTCTGTGCCCCTCCCCTCCTTCTCCCTGCTTTGAGCTTGGTGGGGTCCGAAACTGAAGAGGAGGAAGTGACATGGGAGCAAAACGAGGGGCGGGGAAGGACCCCGTCTCCTCGTGCCAGATAACAAGCTGCTGTCTCTCAGCTCCAAGTCTCGCTCCTATGCTTAGCCTCGGCTGAGCTACACATCTCTCCGTTCTCAGCCGACTCCTTGTTGACCTTGCAAATGGGAGGTTCTAGAAGGAAACAAGAAGGCACTTGCTCCTTCCCGTCGTGCCCACTGTCCTGATGGTGGCATGTCAGCAACAGCCCTTCATGCCAACAGGGGCGGCTGGTTCCAGACTTAGCTTCATTCTGCTCTCCCAGGACAGCTTCATCACCACTCCCACAGGGCCTACCATCAGCCTGGCCATGCTGCTCCTCCCAGGTCTCGTTCCCTCTCCGTGGGGCCCTTCTCTGAACTTTCAGGCTCTGATAAGCCCAGATGCACTCTTCCCTTTAATCCTTAATCCCTAGAGGGTGGTAGCTACCTCTTAAAAGTTATTTGTTACCTCAGTTTCCTTTTTGGTTCTCTAAGTCTTCCAACATCTGTTTAGCCAAGTCCCTACCTTCAATTCTTTGTTGAAATACCTAGTGTGGGTCCTGTTTCCCTGACTGGTCCCCACTTGGTGACCCAGCCTGGTATCAGGAGTGGTGTCCTGGGAAACAGATCCTCAAAGACGGGGGAGTTCAAGTCCATAGTGTGATGGGCCAGTGAAGTGTGGGACTTTCCCATCCCTTATCTCCTGCTCCCTAGTTTGACCCTAGTAGGATAAAAAAAATTCAAGCTAGTAATAAAAGAGAGGAGGGATAGAAGCGAAATATGGGGAAGGGAAGGAATATCCCATGCCACCTTCCCTGCCTTCCTGTATATTGAATATCCCAAGCAGGGAAGGTAGAAGATTTATCTCTGAATCAATCTGGCAAGTTTGAATATCACACAGCACTAGCCATTTTAATAACTAAACTGAAACGGAATTTTTTGCTTAGACTAAGTTTTCTGTTTTCTATGAGACCAGAAAGAGCATGGGGTCTATCAATGTTTTTAATCAATTGCTCCCCCACTGACTAACTGTTAAGGAGTCAGGGAGTAAAATAAAATCGCATATTAGTTATGTCACATAGGCCCTGCTTATTCAGCGTACTGGTTATACTTGATTTTATGTTCAAATATACCTAAATAAGATAACACAAACAATTTAAAGCAGCACTGGGATTTAGTACAACTGTTTTTCTTTCAAAAAAGTTCTGTAATTTAGAAAACTTGAATATAGACTTGGCATTAACTTTAGTTTTTAAAGACAGATACTGGAAAATTTAGGGATAAAATTTAATGATGTCAATAAATTACTTAGTAAAGAAGACATATTAGTCAGCATAGGCTGCCATAACAAAATACCACACGCTGGGTTGGGTTAAACAACAGAAACTCCTTTTTTTTTTTTTTTTTGAGATGGAGTCTCGCTCTATCGCCCAGGCTGGAGTACAGTGGTGCGATCTCGGCTCACTGCAAGCTCCACCTCCCGGGTTCATGCCATTCTCCTGCCTCAACCTCCCGAGTAGCTGGGACTACAGGCGCCCGCCACCACGCCCGGCTGATTTTTTGTATTTTTAGTAGAGATGGGGTTTTGCCGTGTTGGCTAGGATGGTCCCGATCTCCTGACCTCGTGATCTGCCTGCCTTGGCCTCCCAAAGTGCTGGGATTACAGGTGTGAGCCACCACGCCCGGCCCAGAAACTTATTTTCTTAAACGGTCTGGAGGCTGGAAGTCTGAGATCAGGGTGCTGGGATGTTCGGGCTCTGGTGAGGACTCTCTTCCTGGCTTGTGGACGGCTGCCTTCTCCCTGTGTCCTCATATGGTCTTTCCTCAGTGCATACATGTGGAGAGATGGACCTCTCTCTCATCCTCTAGTTACAAGGCCACCCACCCTTATGGCCTCATTTAATGTCAGTTACCTCCTAAAAGGTAACTGACTCCAAATACAGTCACATTGAGGGTTAGAACTTCAACATAAGGATTTTGGTAGGAGACACAATTCAGTCAAAAACAAGAGATACTAAAAAAAAAGTTAACAACTGTTAAGCCAAGGGAATAAAGAAGAGTGTTCATTATTCCATTCTCTCTTTCCTATATGAGAGCATTTTCATAATAAAAAGTCAAAAGGGCCTTTGCTTCT
Source organism: Homo sapiens (assembly GCF_000001405.40). Lineage (NCBI taxonomy): Eukaryota > Metazoa > Chordata > Mammalia > Primates > Hominidae > Homo > Homo sapiens. The sequence continues at coordinate 180,224,171 of NC_000005.10, forward strand.
CGGTAGTACATTGTGGCAGACCAGTGTTCCTTCTGATAACCAGAAAAAGCTGAACACATTTTCAAAGGCACCAGAGAGTCATGGAAGCACAAAGACTAGATGGACTAAAATTCCCGAGGGGGAAAACTCTTCCACGGTGAACTTGGTTCTATGCATGGACTGGGGAAATGGGGTTTAAAGAAGACAAAGGGCTACTTTTGGGAGGAAGAGAACCAGCAAAGCTTTTAGCACGTGCAGAAGACTGGAGAGTTGAGGCTAATTTCTCCCTAAAGCATTTGCTGAATTCTGAGGCTGTGGGGTGAGTGGGACCTGGAGTGGGGGTGTTTAGCACACAGTAAAAAATTACTATAGACTATACACTAAATTACTATACACTATACACGGCCACTAACAATAGATGTTGCCCCACCAATGACCCAGATACTGAAATGAGCAGATGAGGACTTTAAAATAAAAATACTTCGAAAAAATAAAATAACTGGGCCGGATGCGGTGGCTCACGCCTGTAATCCCAGCACTTTGGGAGGCCGAGGCGGGCAGATCACGAGGTCAGGAGATCGAGACCATCCTGGCTAACATGATGAAACCCCATCTCTACTGAAAATACAAAAAATTAGCCAGGCGTGGTGGCGGGCGCCTGTAGTCCCAGCTATTCAGGAAGCTGAGATGGGAGAATGGCGTGAACCCGGGAGGCGGAGCTTGCAGTGAGGTGACATTGCGCCACTGCACTCCAGCCTGGGGGAGACAGAGTGAGACTCCATCTCAAGAAAAAAAAAAAAAAAAAAAAAAGGAAAAAGAAAATAACTATGGTTCAAGAAAATAGAGGGAAAGATGACAAACTGGTAAAAGGATAAAAAATTTTGACAGAGAATTAGAATCTCTGAAAAAGAATGGGTATAAGGCTTGAAAAGGAACTTCACAAAAGATATTCATATGTCAATAAACATGAAAATGTGCTTAACTTGAATAGTCACCACTGACTGCAAATTACAACCAAGACCATTACCCACCCTCAGAATGGGTAAAACAGAGGAGAAGATGGGTTACCTTACCTTAAAGCAGGAAAAGGTTAGAGAGGATATGTAGCAACTTGAATTCTCATCTACCACTGGTGAGAATGTAAATGGAAAAAAATGACTTGGGAAAATCGTTGGGCAGTGTCTGCTGTGGTAGGCGGAGTAATGGCTCCTCAAAGATGTCCCCTTCCTAATCCCTGGAACCTGTGAATACGTTACGTTACATGGCAACAAGAACTACAAAGATGTAAAGTTAAAAGATTTAAAATAAGCAGATTATCCTGAATTATCTGGGTGTGCCCCATCTAATCACATGAGCCTTTAAAAGCAGAGAAAATTATCTGGCTGGAGCAGAATATATGCAGCAGAAGGGAAGTCGGAGATTGCAAGCGTGAGAGAGACTCGACACGCACCTGCTGGCTCTGAGATGTAGAGGCCACTTGTAAGGACGCAGAGAGGCCTCTAGGAACTACGGGTGGCCCCAGCTAACAGCCAGCAAGGAGATGGGGACCTCGGTCCTACAACAGTAAGGAACTGAATTTGGCCAATAAGCCAAAGGAGCTCTGAAGGAAGGGAACGGTGGGAACTCAGGTTCTCTTCCTGCCTCTCTTTCCCTGACTTTAAGATGGAGCTAATAATACTGACCTCATAAAACTGTCAGTATTACATCAAACATGTTCAAATGTGTGACGTGCATAGCTATTCTTCTTCTTGAGCCAATTTTGGTATTTCTTCTAATCTTTCTTCTTGAGCCAATTTGGTATTTCTACGAATATCTGCTTCATGTGGACAACCACATCTGTTGGAACCCTGCATGCCTACAGTTATCTCCGTCTGCCGTTTTGCATGTTACTTGCACTGACTTTTTCTTCTTCATCAGTGTTGCCAGAGATTTGTCTAAGTTATTAACCTTTGGGGTTTTGCTAATTTTTTTCTCTCAATTTGTCTTCTGGTTTCTTGATCCCTGCTCTTATCTTCATTATTCCTCCGTTTTTGCTTCTCTGGGCTTGCTCTGTTGCTCTATTCTCTGCCTCCTGAGTTGAATGCTGAACTCATTTTTTTTGTTTTGTTTTTCCTTTTTTGGTTTATTTATTTTTTCTCTTTTTTTTTGGTCTTTGAACTCATTAAAAAATTGTTTTTTGACAGAATAAACACCTTTATTACATGGGTGGAGACTGAAAGGATGAGGATTTATTTGCCCTTCCGGGCCTTGATTTTCCTAAGATAGAACTCTGACTCCTCGCCCTCTAGCACGTAGCCATCTGCTTGGCCACAATGTCCCGGCCGCACTGTCCCAGCCTTGATGCGATGCACGCAGGAAGCTTGCCCTGTTGGAACTGCTTCCCCAGAAGACTGATTTTGGCATTCTTTTTCCTTTCATCATACTTCTTCTGAATGTTTTAGATCATTTTTTGTTTAAAATCTCTTCCTCCTCAGGAATCAGTTTGGCCCCTTTCTTGCGGCCCAGGAGCAGCACATAGTAGGACTCGTACCACTGCTGATACAGTGTGTTGTCAATGAGTGTGATGCAGCTCCTCACCGGGGTCTCGGTACGGACCAGTTCATTCTTGGACACATTGTCGACAGCGTCGATGATGCTGGTTTTGCAATTACAACACTCTGAGCCCCAGTAGAAACTCCCCACATCCAGCCTCAGGGCACAGTATTTTTTGTTACTTCCCTGCACACGGACTGTGTGGATGTGGTGGGGGCTGATCTTGGCATTGGCAGCAGGGCGCCCCAGCTCATACTTCCACTTCTCGTCGTTGGGCGTTCTCTTGCCCCCGGTCTTGTGGTGCTTGTGCCAGCTGTCCTGGCGCTGGCTGGAAAGACAAATCTGTCTTATTCTTAATAAACATATTTAACCCTTGGCTGGGTCTTACCAAATTAGGCACATACTTTGTTGAGGCCACACACTTTTAGGAATTTCAAATTTTTCCTTATGATTTCCTCTGTCACCTAGATTGCTTAGTGTATTGTTAGTCTCCAGATGTGTAAGATATTTTAAAATTTATTTTGAATTGTATCACATTATCCTATGATGTTGACTTTGGGATTTACTGAGACTTCTTCTGTGGACTGATACAGGCAGTATTCCTGTAAGTTCCCTGTGTTGAAAAGAATTTGCCTGTTGGGTCTAGTGCTCTCTCTGGGCCCAGGTAGAGAGCTGTGGCATTCCAGTCTTCTAGTTATTCGCTCCTTTTTCACACACCTGACCTGTCCATTCCTGAGAGGGGTGCATTCAAATTTCAAGCCACACTTTTTGGTATTTTGTTTCTCCTCATGGTACTGTCAATCATCATACACACGCACACAGAGTTATATATTATACATATACTACATGGTGCATGATTTGTAATTTTATATATTGTTAGGTTTTCTATTTGCTCACGGACCTTAACTCTTTTTGATTAGTGTGTTTTGGTCATTTACATTTATTTTAACTACTGGTATATTAGGGCTTATTTATGCTTTTATTTCATTTTTCCTATTTACCATATTTCTGATAAGAACAAACACTATACTTGATCTCAGCCAAAAGGCCAAGAAGCAAGGGTGATATTTTCTTTTTCTCCCCTTTTCCTGACTGAATTTCCTTCTGGCCCAAGTAATGAATTTTATTTTTGTCTATCAATTTTAACAATTTTTTAAAATGTTAGGCATCCATCCCACAAACCCAGGTGCGTCCCTAACATCCTCTCACATTCCTCTGGTCTCTCTCCCTGTTTCATCTCCACCTCCATCAGCAGAGTTGGTATCATTCTTGGAGCTTTATTTATGAAGTCTTGAGGTCTAGAAAAATGTCCAAAGGTTACGAGTTACTCCTTAGGCCTCTCAGAAGCCACACTGACTCCTTAGTAGCTTCTCTGAAGTCAACACCAACGCATTCAGCCGCATGTAGGTAGCTCACTACAAACGCTATTATGCAGACACACATGTACATGGCTACCTATACCTGTGTCTGTCTATAAAATACATGTGTATACATGATGTATACATGAAGTTGAGACTTTTTTTTTTTTTTTTGAGACAGTCTCACTCTGTCGCACAGGCTGGAGTGCAGTGGTGCAATCTTGGCTCACTGTAAGCTCCATCTCCCGGGTTCACGCCATTCTCCTGCCTCAGCCTCCCAAGTAGCTGGGACTATAGGCACCCACCACCACGCCTGGCTAATTTTTTGTATTTTTAGTAGAGACGGGGTTTCACCATGTTAGCCTGGATGGTCTCCATCTCCTGACCTTGTGATCTGCCCGCCTTGTCCTCCCAAAGTGCTGGGATTACAGGCGTGAGCCACCGTGCCCGGCCGAAGTTAAGACACTTTTAAAATCTGGTTGCTTGCAAAAAATCAATGGTGAAATGAATGACTGCATATCCGTATAAACGCATGTACAGACGCATGCATGTAGACAGGATATAGCAGGTGGTGAAATAACATTTGGAGAATCTGGGTGAGGAAGAATTCTTTGTGCTATTTTTGCAAGTTTTCTTATTTCAAAATTAAAATTTAAAATGTAATGGGGTCAGCCAACAGGACAGGGGACTCAGCTTTGAAGAGCTTCCCTGACTACAGTTTTGGCAAGTCAAGTCTCAAAAAGAGGAATGAAAAACACAGAGAAATAAGGTGTGATGCCGCCTGAGGCAGCTATGAAACCAACACCACGCCTTGAGCCCTGACCACTTAAGGGGAAGAACAGGGTGCAGGGTTGCCTTTTGGCTGAGGCGGGGCACAGGACCACCAAACAGCCCTGGCTGACACGTGGGAGCTCTCGCTGACAGCAAACTGCCAGCACATAATGGCAACGGGACAAATTAAGGAGGTCACTCTTCCCCGAGCCCTCAAAGAATTCTTGCTCATGGCCAGGACTGTCAACTGAGGCCAACAGCACGCGACATGGTGGATGAGGCACCCCCAAAGGAAGCCCACGTGGACAACTTCCTCTTCACAGGGAGGAAAATGTGACTGAGTGACGGAGGACGGGACTGTCATCACCCTAACCAGTGGCCAATTTTAGCATCACTGGCCTGGTGTGATGGCTCGCACCTATACTCCCAGCACTTTGGGAGGCTGAGGAGGGAGGACTGCTTGAGCCCAGGAGCTTGAGACTAGCATGGGCAACAGAGAGAAACCCTGCCTCTAAAAAACACTTAAAAATCAAAAATCAAAGTTTTAGCATCACTGACAGTGGGTTAAGAAGATACGAAATGTCCTTTGGTGTGATTTAATAGAAAGGACACAATATCACTTAAATGTATTACAACCAAAAGATGCAGGTGAATCTAGCAAAGCTTTATCTGTACCTTCCAGATTCCAGGAAATCCTGGGGATGGGGAGCAGGTCAGGGCAAACTCTTAGAAGTGGACACACAAAGCTGGAGGGTGCACATCCTGCAGGACAGCCTGCCTGGCGCTGTAAGTTGGTTCCATGGTGGATAACAAGATCCTTAAGGACATGACAACCAGAAATCGGGCACTATGAATGCATGGGGTGTTGACTAGGCCCTGGAAAAAAAGGCAAGGGATGCTCAAGGTGAGAAGCGTCTGAAGTCACACCCAGCGTGAGCCAGGTTCTGCCCTGATGGAGGCATTTTTGTAGTCGTCAGGCAACAGGAGAGCTGCCTGGCGTTGGTTGTATGGTCCTTTGTGGAATCAGAGTCACACAGCTTCAAAACACATCACTTCTTTACTCACACCGAAACAACACAAGGCCACTGAGTGCCCTGCTCCCCTACTCACTCGGACCTATGGACACTGGGACAAAACACCATGTTTTCTAAGTGGCCACAGGATAGCAAAAATGTGGCTATCAAGGGGGAGGTGGGCGCTCACCACCTGCCCCTCTCAAGTAAAAATAAAAGAATGCACTCTGAGAGCCAGGGAGGGTGCCAAACTCATTTCTTTTTCTTGAAATGTGACTAGTAAATGGAGCAGAGAATGACGCTGAAGTGCATTCATGCTTTCTGTGACCCATCCGTCAAGCTCCTTCTTTGTGACCTTGCAGCTGTGTGGCGAGGCTGCAGAGCTGAACTGCCCCGCTGACGGGGGAGACAACAGCCACACGGACCTGTCCTGATGACTGCCTGAAGGCACTGCTCTCAAGGCTGTTCATCACCATGCAGAGGAAGGTTCAGGAGACAGGTTCATGCCCTTGGACCACAAATGTCAAGCTGGGAGAGAATGTTTGTGGCGATGACAGAACTGGGATTGACTCTGCAACATCACAAAATTCAGGAACTGAGATGGACCTAGACCCAGAGTGTGACACGGCTCTCAAGGCTGAGGCCACCCGACAGTGTGTCAATTAATGCAGGCCCTTAGAGGGTGCCCTGCTCAGGCTGTATCTCGAATACTGTGTCCACTTCTGGGCCCATATTTTAGGGGTGCAGCTGACAAGTGGGTCCCCAAGGTGGTGAGGCTCTGGGAGATTTTTATTTTTAGAGAAGGGGTCTCACTCTGTCGCCTAGGCTACAGTGGTCTCATCAATGCTCACTGCAGCCTCAAACTCCTGGGCTCAAGCAATGCTCTTGCCTCAGCCTCCTCAGTAGTGGGGGCCTTTTCATAGGAGAGGGTTGGATGAACTTTGAGTTTAACATAGAGAAGGGAAGACTTGGAGCTTACCTTTCCAACTAACATATTACAGCCTGCTATTCAAAGCAGGTCGGACTTGCTCTATTTTGCCCAGAGGAAAGGTCTAGGAGCCATGGGCAGAAGTTACAGGAGCCAGGTGTCAGTTCAGTTTAAGAAAGAACGTTCTAGCAGTTAAAACTACAAACGATTCAGTGGGAAAGGAATTCCCTTCATGTGAACAGGGGCTGGGTGACCAGCTGTGAGGAACTCTTCACGCTGATGCCTACTTGAATGGGTGTGACCCAGAGAGTCCCTCTGTGCATTCCACTCTGGATGAGCAAATGAAGTTAACTTCAAAGCATACTTCAAAATGTGTGAATGAAATTAATTTCAAAGCATATTTATAAAAGTTATAAGAAAATCACAGGGAGATTGAGGGAAGAGGAGACAATATATTTTTGGAGAATGAATGTAAAATATGGTTTTAAGTGAAAGATTTTAATTCAAAGCTCAGCCAGAACTACTCCTTTGCAATTAGGAGATGTGTTTAATGATAACTGTGTCTTTGTACATTTCCATTTAGTTCCTGAGTTCCATGTGGAGGAAGTGATGGAAATGACCCAGTTCACTGGAACAAAGTCCTTGTCTTTTCTTTCTGCCATCAAGTAAGAATGCCGACCAGTGCTGGAGCTGAGTGACGATGCCCTGTACACCCAAGATTTGTGTACAAATGAGTCAGGGCCAGCAAGGGTAGAAAAGGCAGCTGAACCCTCCTGAGGCTCTGCTCCCCCGAGAACATAAAGCATCTAGGAGCTATGTCTAGAAAGGGGCTTTTTGGCCGGGCACAGTGGCTCATGCCTGTAATCCCAGCACTTTGAGAGGACGAGGCAGGTGGATCACTGGAGCTCAGGAGTTCGAGACTCACCTGGCTAACATGGTGAAACCCCATCTCTACTAAAAATACAAAAATTAGCTAGGCGTGGTGGTGCACGCCTGTAATCCCAGTTACTCGGGAGGCTGGGGCACCAGAATCGCTTGAACCTGAGAGGCGGAGGTTGCAGAGAGCTGAGACCGCGCCACTGCACTCCAGCCTGGGTGAGAGTGAGATTCTGTCTCAAAAAAAAAAAAAAAAAAAAAAAGAAAGAAAGAAAAGAAAGGGGCTCTTTACATGGTATCCACTGGGGTCCAGGGCTCCTCTGAAAGCTTGGCAAAAATTTTGTGCTTATGGCATTTTTCTTGGAAGAAGGTCACAGATGTCAGCAGATTCTCAAAAGTGTTTATGACTAAAAGAGAAGAGTGAGATTTGAAAGAACATGCTACCCACGGGGTCAGGGCAGACCCACGGCTCCTTCTTGGTGCTGAGGTGCCCAGGCACCCTCTTTCTCGGGCGTAAGGCCCCCTCACTATTGTAGGGTGGGGGTTAGACAAAATGATTCTGGATTTCCCTTCCAACTCTCAAACACCATGAAAGGAAATGGAAGGAGCAAACACTCTTGCTCACAGTGACCCTTGGGCATTCTAACTGCGGAAGAGCATGCGGTCTCCAGGCCTTGAAGACTCAGCCTTTGACCAGCTCCGAAGGGTGAGACGCGCATCTCTCTTCCATCACGGTTACATTCAGCTGCAAGGAGATGTGACTGACCACTCTGTCACTGTTGTTACTGATTTTGTTACCAATTTTCCTGATTAAAACAGTATCAAAGAACTGCCTTATTGTCAAAGGTAACCACCTTATGCTTAAATTCACAAAAGTAGCCACAGAATCTTCAAGATAATGCAAGTAGCTAATTATGAAGTTATTTTGAAATATGGGCACTCTCCCTCCTCCCTGAAAACCCCCACCCCACCTATGTGTATTACTTCAGTCAATAAATAAAAAGCATTTCAGTGCTGTCTACAGTGAAAGAGGGAAGAGGGAATAGGACAGAGAAATGGAACCCAGACCCAGACCCCAGTATCTCAAGAAACATCTTCCTTCTTTCAAGACCTTTGAAAACACAACTGGGCCGGGCGCGGCGGCTCACGCCTGTAATCCCAGCACTTTGGGACGCCGAGGCAGGCGGATCACGAGGTCAGGAGATCGAGACCATCCTGGCTAACACGGTGAAACCCCATCTCTACTAAAAATACAAAAAATTAGCCGGGTGTGGTGGCGGGCACCTGTAGTCCCAGCTACTCCGGAGGCTGAGGCAGGAGAATGGCGTGAACCCGGGAGGCGGAGCTTGCAGTGAGCCGAGATAGTGCCACTGCACTCCAGCCTGGGAGACAGAGTGAGACTCCGTCTTAAACACACACACACACACACACACACACACACACACACAGCTGGTACTCATCTCTCTGGAATGCTTCTAGTCCTTTTAAGCAGAGAAAAGAAAGTGAGCCACTGAGTGTCCTTCCACTCCTGTGGTATTAAGTACTAAACAGCCTGAAGTGCTTCAAACACAGACGTCAGATGAACTTGGCTCATCCCAGGCACAAAGCCACAAGCACCATGAATGACGTTAAGTAACATGACTAAGGCTGACTGGTGAATTCTCCTGGCCACGCCTCATGAGAAAACAATTACACCAATACTCTGAATTGGACCTGCATATTGGTGAAGTCAAAACTTACTGCCATTAGTTTTGAAAACACAGATTTAGGAATTTGCAGAATATTTTCAATAAGAGAACAAACAGCAATGTTTCTGCCTCTCAGTGTGAAACCTCTTGCTAATATTGATCAAAAGCATGACACTTTATCATCTATCTGTGTTCATGTTAAATCTGTCATCAGAGATGGTGATGGAGAAATATCTAATTGCCATGTAAAAACACACAAAAATTGGACATGCTATACATTTATCTTTTAAAATGTAGTCTGTATTATTTTCACCAACCAAAACACACATAATATATTTTATTATAAAACATTAGCAATGTTACTTTTGAGATATGCAATCTGAAAGGTCACACTTGTATTTATTACCAGGAGGAAATACCAGAGGAGTCACATTAGAAATCAACCAGACAGACTCGTACGTGGTTATCGCTACTTACACAGCATTAAATGCGGGTTGAAGCAGCACCCGCTCCGTGTTTCAGACACGGACTTGGGGTGGGCAAGGGGCCCTGTAAGAGGGCTTCCTCCTCTCAGTACTGGGGCTCTGCGTCTCACCTGCTCCCATCTCCAGGCCCACGGCTGACACGGTATGCACAGCCAGGGTTTCCAGACTGCTCTCCTGCTCTCACAGAACTCTGTCTGCTCTCTGGACTCTGCCCTTGAAACTGAGACCTGGACATGGGGGAGACAGTCGTTTCCTTCTTGGCTGGAAACTAAGTCAACAAATGAAACAAACCTAGTCTAAATTCCAGGATAATAGTAAATTACCTGGTTTATAAAAATACATGTCCAAAATAGTTACTTCCTGGGTTGTGTACAATATAAATTACAAAAATAAAATAGAAAAGATGAAACAGTTGAGCACATTTTTCAGTTCTTTAACCAACATCAGCATTTATCCATAGAGATCAGTTTGAAACCATTTGCGTGGCACCAAGACCCTGGCAAATCTAGGCTCAGGAGAGAGAACCCTGAAGCTGGGGTGAGGTATTTCTGTGGAGCCCTGTGGCCTGTCCTAGGCACGCTCGCCTCTACCTGGTGGAAGATGGCCTTTCCAGGAAACCCTCCACACCGTCACGGGCTCCATCTGTGGCAAGTGGCTCGCTGAATGCACAGAGGAGCGAGTGAGCAGAAGGGCGTCTGCGGGTGCCTCGTCCCCCGTCCACGTCTCCCGGGGAGGGAGCATCACACAGTGCAGGGCAGCTCGCGCATTTTCAACCTCTCCCTTTTGTTTTTCCTTTTAAAGATAGATTTAGTGAAGTCTTTTAAAAGAAAGTGTATTACAGAGAAGGCCATTTTAAGATGTTTAGATAGATAGCCATAAAATAGGTGTTTCCGCCTCAATCCAAGTTATTATTACCATTTTGTACTTGAAAGTGTCCAAATGACACAATATAAAAGAACTATTTCTTATTTCAATATTAATTTTGCTAATCAAAGGTTCCAGTTTCCAGTGATATGACCAACCAATAAGATATAACTGGTGCAGAGAGAGCCATATATTTTACATAATATTTATAATAAACTTTCTTATCACAGTTCCTCCTCAGAACACACTCTACAGAATGTCGACTGAAAAGCTTCCAAAATAATTGAACACAAGATATGAATCAGCAACAGAATAAGCTCAAGGGAAGAGACATGGGCACAGGCAGGCAAAACGTGATCACCACAGCTCCGTTCCTGCAGTGACACTTAACATACTCAGCATCTTCATGAATTCTGAATAATTTACTGATCGTAAAGTCTAAAAGTATCAATTTCAGGTGAGCAGTTTTAAATCAGAAAATAGTCAATAGTTAATCATGACTCTTCAGGGTATTTCCTTCACGTCCTCTGAAGAGTTTCCCAGAACATTCTTGTGAAAAGGAATGCCTCCCAACAATGGAGAGCAACAATAGCAACAGGCATCTGAATCAGCCTGGCCTCTGAAAACAGACCAAAGAGGAGTTTATCTGCTTTCTTCCAGTGAAGAAAGAAAATCAAGAACGTGGTATTGGCCGAGGGAAAGTGAATGAGGGAAGGTAAATAAAGGACCCAGGCCAGTCTGTGGCAAAGGAAGCACTTAGGAAATGACTGCAGTGATCTCTAGTGAGCATTTTGTAAAATTCCACTCCAACGTTAGGCCATGGATGCAGGAACCTATCTGCCATCATATTTAATTAAGATGGAGTGTTACGCACCTAATAAAGAAGGTGAAGTTCTAGGTAGCATTTTAAATTCATAAGAAGTCTAGAAGACCAAGAAGAAAAGAGATAAGGTAGCTAGGATTTCAAGCAGCACTAAGCAAAACTTAAAATTGTATCGTGCAGTAAAGCTGAATGTACAATCATCCCAGACAAGACAGTTTAAAGAAAACAAGATGTCCACATAAGTGTCTTGGTTTTAGCCGTGATAATTCTCAGCCCCAAACATCACAAATCTAAGAAAAGCTATATATTTTTATTTATTAAATAGATTTAATTATATGTCTTCTGAAATACAAAAGATAGAATAAATCATAGCATAAAAGGGAATAAGATATGATAACATCATGATGGCCAATTAATACACATAAATCGACTTTTTCTGGACAGACACCAAATTACTTAAGAGGATTAAGAGATAACTTCAGAAGCAGCACTACCTGGAAGATTATTTGGCATTTAAATACTGATTTCCAAAGTGCTAGATGGGCAAGTCCAAGCAAGCATTTGTGGTCACATGCACATACATCTCAACAGTTACAGATGATGAGAAACTGTCACTAGTACAATTTGAAACAAATTCACCTACTCTAACTGCTCACCTGAAATGATCTTGAACAAAATCTCTAGAAGTGTGGCTTGCAATTTTTTTCTTCAGACATATTCTGCCTCATTTTATCATCTAAGCAGGCAATCCTATCAGGTCTGAGTAGGGCAAGGCATTGTGTTTCTTACATGCAGAACATGGAGTTTTTCTATTTGGTTCCATCAACTCCCAAGCATTTCAGGCCCACGGAGGTGAGAGTTCCTTCAATGCTGACAGGTTTGCTATTTCTAACCTATCATCGACAGCCTTCAAGGGGTCCCGTCGAGGCATCAAGACTGCTGTCTGTGTCTGAGGCCAGCGTCTGCTCAGTGGACATGGATGAAATGTCATTGATCGATGAAGACTGAGAAGGAGTGGCGTTGCTACTTACTGCTGCATCTGTGCTAAGAAAACCAAATATAATAAAATCTGAGGCACGACATTGCTGCAAATCCAGGCAGCGAGACTGCAGGCCATTTCTCGGCTCTGTCCTTTTGCAGTTTCCCAATCCTAACTATGAGTATAGACAAGAAGTCAGTCAGCTGGACTTTCTGAACTTTTCCTTGAGTCTTTCTTTGGGCCAAGAGTCCCATATTCCTATGTCTTTCCTTGCAAGATTCTTCTTTTTTTCTCAGTAGCTAAACATATATGTGGCCATGTATAATCATGTTAGCTACTTAAAAAATACCTGCTGCTTTCAAGCAGACATCAAAAGGACACAGCTATATTTATCTGAAAATGCAGTATCACAAAAGCTTAAGCCTGACTAGGATTCCAGTGTCACCAGACACTTGAATTGTAACAATTTATAACATAAACACTAAATCTACAGGAAAAAAAGCATCAACTTTCAAAGAAATCTTTTGCAATAAATAAAGACTATATACCAGAAAAAGGAAAAAAATTAGTGGCCTTGTATATTTTATGGTTTTATAACTCCAGAAAACTGACATTTTAATCTTTTAAAGCAAATGAAACTATCCTACTTCCTACTATCCATATTTTAGTCTGGTTTGAATAAAAACACAACATGCACTCTCTGAGATCGACGTCTGCAGTCATACGTGTGTGCTCAGTTAACAAGCACCTAAGTTCTTGCTGAAGTTATATAATCTCTAGATGCTTGACACATACGTCATGTTGAACATAAAATTCAAGAATAAAAAGTAAGCTGTGCTCTCTGCACATCCGCACACATGTGTGTGCATGCTTCCCAGTGGGAGTGGGAGAGAGACAATGATATAACGTGAGCGTTTCATTTAGTAAACAGGAAGAATCCTTCAGACGTAAGTGAACACGACTCATATCAGAGTCTCATGATCATACAACTACCTGGTCATTAGAGGCTTCCACCACTATGAAGATCAGTAGATCAAGCAGAAAAATGGGAAAATGATATCAACAATTTTCTCAAAAAGAATACCATACTCCATTTTACTTAGATTGGCATTTTGGGTGGGACCAGTACAAAGGGTTATCAACATTGAAAAGGCTTTAAATTCAATTTCTTCATCTGTAAATGGAGGTGACAGCAGTTATTGCAAAGATGAAAGAGAAATGCTTATAACAAAGTTCAGTGCCTGGCACATCAGTAAAATGTCATCCACCACCACCACCACTATGACAAGCCAAAAAGGCTGGCTATTCATACAGCGGTTTTTAAATCTGATGCTAGCCAGGCTGGCATTTCACATGTTGCTGCCATTTATAAAAGTTGAATCGGGAAAGACGCCAGGTGCGGTGGCTCACGCCTGTAACCCCACCACTTTGGGAGGCTGAGGCGGGTGGATCACGAGGTCAGGAGATCGAGACCAGCTTGGCCAATATGCTGAAACCCCGTCTCTACTAAAAATACAAAAATTAGCCAGGCATGGTGGTGCGTGCCTGTAATCCCACCACTTTGGGAGGCTGAGGCGGGCAGATCACAAGGTCAGGAGATCGAGACCAGCTTGGCCAATATGGTGAAACCCCGTCTCTACTAAAAATACAAAAATTAGCAGGGCATGGTGGCGCGTGCCTGTAGTCCCAGCTACTCGGGAGGCTGAGGCAGGAGAATTGCTTGAACCCAGGAGGCGGAGGTTGCAGTGAGCAGAGATCGCGCCGCTGCTCTCCAGCCTGGGCGACAGAACGAAACTCTGTCTCAAAAAAAAAAAGTTGAATAGGGAAAGAAAAATATCATACAATCAATTAAAGCAATCACTAACCTGAAGGCTGATCTTTTACAACACCATTCTTGCTTCTTTCTTCCCAATCCATGACTTCTTTGTAAATTAGCTCTTTAATAAAAATACAAGTTAAAATGCTTAATCAGTTTCTAAACAGTTTCACTGTATCTCTAAACTCTGCTTCCAAATCAACTGGAACAAAGGCATTGCGATTTGTTATTTTTAATTGTAAGACAGAGTCAATTCAGTAATATAGTCTACCTGGACCAAAATATTCATATTTTGATACATTATATCTTTTCTTTTCTTCTTCTTCTTTTTTTTTTTTTTTTTTTTGAGACAGTCTCATGCTGTCATCCAGGCTGGAGTACAGTGGCATGGTCTTGACTCACTGAAACCTCCACCTCCTGGATTCAAGTGATTCTCATGCCTCAGCCATCCAAATTGCTGGGATTACAGGTGTTCACCACCATGCCTGGCTAACTTTTGTAGTTTTTGTAGAGACAGGGTTTCGCTATGTTGGCTAGGCTTGTCTTGAATTCCTGGCCTCAAGCCATCTGCCCCACTTGGCCTCCCAAAGTCCTGGGATTACAGGTGTGAGCCACTGCGCCTGGACTACATTACATCTTTTTCAATGCAACTAGTAAGGCAGCAAAACATGTAGGGTGGTTCTGGATCCATAAGGGGGCTTTATGAAGTGGAGTGGCTCCCACAGAACACTGTAGGGGATTGGATATTCTCACACCCATTTGAATATGTTTCTCTATGTGGTTACTTGGGGTTCTCCAAAGGTAACCAGCACCCACATGTGGGCTAGGAGCCCCCCACACTGGCCAGAAATGAATCCACAGGCCTAAGTCTTTTCTTAATTTCAACTTCGGTTTTCCTCAACTTTCATCTGTAAGAAAAACTAATTACCTACGAAGTAAGTGATGAGGGATTCCTAAAATGTCAGTATTCATAAACCAACATTAGCACGTTGCAAGCATTCGCTGAGGCCAGTGAGCATTGACTGAGGCCAGTGAGCACGCTGTGTGCATGCACTGCTGAGCACGGGCACACACAGGTAACCGGCACTCCCACACCCCAGGATGGCCCTGGGGCATGACCCTCATCAGTGTTGACTGACTCTGACTGTGGTTCTCAGTTACTACTGATCCTGCTTCTTAATGAAAAATTGTTAGTTCAACCTCTTCATTACAGGTATAGTTTGTTGTGGGTTGTTTGGTTAATCTTATAGTGGTAATAATACCTATTTGCATATTTTCAATCTGCAATTTCCCCCAAACTAGATTTTAAAACATATGTACAACTACATGGCTTAAAAACATATCAATCAATATAAGTATGATACAATTACTAAGCTCAGTTTATAAATCAATATGTGAAAAGCCATGAAAAAAATATTATTTTTCCCTCTTGAAGCAAATGATAAGAAATTCATAAATGTTCCTCTCTAACTCTGTTCTCTTCAAGTTCATTTTCTACTGGAAACTGGGGAGAAAGAGGCTAAGTGGGTCGCAGGGTTTCTTGCCCCTTCCTGAAGGGAAATGTCACAAAATGAAAAGCCTCTGCTCTACAGGATTGGAAGAAATGTCAAAAGGAAGGATCAAAATAAGCTCCATCTTTACCTTTCCATTCTTCAATTGCATGTTCTCTTTCTTCCAACTGGGCATCATAAATTTGAGGTGGTGGCTAAAAATTAAATCATATGTAAAGTCAACAGTAATGCCTCAAAAAAAAATGAGGCACTAAAAAAGGTAAAATTGCTTGGAAGACTTCTAGTCTATTTATGATATGGATTTAGTTTAATTCAACACGTGGTTTAATAAAGATTTGTCATGTGATATTATATCAACTTTAGAATCAAAATAATTATGAAAAAGTTAACCAAAGAAGAGTTATTATGTTCCTCTTAATAATCACCTGACCTCAAAACGCAGACATCTGCCCAGATGTCATTAGAAACTCATCATCACAGGCTGTTTCCCAGAGACCCATTATGGACAAGGCACTGTGCTGGCAGCTATGGAAGGTACTGTTGTTTCTTAGAACAAATTTTACATTTTCTTCATGGGAGAACTCCCAAATCCAATGTCCAACTCATAAATGGACTGTTATAAAAGTCTGCTTATAAATTGGATTCTTTTTATATAAAACAATGTTTAAACTGATGGCAAAACCACAGGCCATGACATAAACATGTATTTCACTCATGGCATGAAGGAAGCCTGCCACTACGCAGTGATTTCCCTCACAGCTAAAGCTCACTCACACCAGTGCTGACACAGAAACACGCACGTGAGCACCAAACTCAGAGTGGAGCTCCTCCAGCGGGGGAACCAGGAGCTACAATGCCTTTAGGGAAGGATAAACAGACGTGTGATTTTTCAGCAAGTTGCTCAGCCTCTCTGGTTAAGTGGCCTAAACAAGAGGATGTAACCAAAGCCAATGGCACAGAATAGATGCTTAATAAACTATGAGCTCACAGCAGCATTTGCAAAATGGAGACTGGTAGCACCAAAGCGGAAGTTCATTCCCGAGGTACTCTGAGCTGGGGCTCCAGCAGCAAAAGAGCAAGCGACCCAGGTCTCAGACAACACTTGGCCTTTCTGTAACTGGGAGCCCCCAAATGGAGAACTTGCTACCCATATGTAGCCACTCTGGACGGACAGACAAGATCCAAGGAAATATAAGCCTGGCCTCTCTATATAAATCTTTTCAAAACAGATACTCACGGCTTCTGCTTCGGCGGGGTCATACCAAACAGTGATGTATGGGTGACGCAGAGCTTCGTCTACAGAGATCCGCTTGTCAGGATCAATCACTAACATTTTTGATAACAGATCTCTGGCTTGACTTGCTAGGGTGACAACAAATATTAAATTAATGCTGTTAATATGAAACAAACAGAATCATACAATAAAGAACTAAATATGACAACACAGATAGAACAAAGATATATTAATTTTGAGAAATGTTTGATAGGTTCAAGATGAATATAACCCAAAATTTTTTTTTTTTTTTTCGGAGACGGAGTCTCGCTCTGTCGCCCAATGCAGTGGCGCAATCTTGGCTCACTGCAAGTTCCACCTCCCGGGTTCACGCCATTCTCCTACCTCAGCCTCCCAAGCAGCTGGGACTACAGGCGTCTGCCACCATGCCCGGATAATTTTTTGTATTTTTTTAGTAGAGACAGGGTTTCACTGTGTTAGGCAGGATGGTCTCGATCTCTTGACCTCGTGATCCGCCTGCCTCAGCCTCCCAAAGTGCTGGGATTACAGGCGTGAGCCGCCGCACCCAGCCATAACCCAAACATTTTTAAGAAAAAGTCAAATGTCCACTTTCATGACAAACCAGGTTTCCAAATGTAGTTTTACGCCTCTGGATCTGCAAGGGGAAGAGAAACCTGGGCTCCCAGGGTGGTGGGGAAGAGCACCAGGCAGCCTCAGACCAATGTCTGGGCAGGGCCCAAGGCTGGGAAACCACAGCAAGGAAGGTGGCAATTGCCGAGCTGCGGGTGGCACTGCCCAGAGTGTGGGCATGAGGCACGGGGGAGTATTTTTCTCTAAGTCACATCGAAATGAAATTAGAACAGACTTTTCAAACCACACAACAATCTCACATTCCCACAGGATAAAACACTCACAGATGCTTCTGGCTGGCCTAGCTGTATACAGTGCTGGCAACTTACACTTTTTTTTTTAATCTACAGATTGGTATTTAGGAAAAAGAAAAACAAGTTCAATAACTTAGTTAAATATAAGGCTCACCTAGGTTTTGTCAATTAAAGTTCACAACCTGAATAAGCAAAGACTGGGGCTTTTCTGATTAAGGCACAGTTTACCTTCATGCGGACAGAATCAAATCTTTTCTTTTTCCTTAAACAATCACACTGTAGTAAAGGGTGCAGGAGAAGGTGGGGAGGAAGGACCTTTTTCATCGAACAACTGTCACATCGCTTCTGACTCTAGAATCTGCATTAAGTGTTCTTCTTACCTGAAAACTTTTTGAATTCCAGTTGCTGTAACTGTAACATAAGATTCTTTCAGACTGATTTGATTATTTTTATTTTGGCCAAAGGCTTCAATTAAGCCGTCTTATAGAGGATAAAGCTTCTAGACCTTTAAGCTTTCTCTCCTCAGTGCCTTCGTACCTCAGACTTCAGGCCTAAAATGACTTTCTCTCCCAAAACACAGGTTTTTAGAATACAAACATGAAAGAGTGAAAGCACCACCTGAATTACAAAACACAAGTATAAGAAAAAAAGGATATCTTACTTTTTATTTTGTCTCGCTCAGATTCTGATGGGAATATCCAATCTGGAAAGAGTTCTTCAAATTTGATTCCAGGATACTTTGGTCTGTTTTCGACATAATTCCTCACAGTTGGCTGAAGTTTCTTCATGAACTCTGCTGATGGTGTTCCCAGCTGCTCAATAACTTTATTCCACTGATCAATATCTAAGGAGTTTCTTGAGGAAAATACAACTGAAGTACCTTGTATTCACAGTACATGCGGCAGCATCACTTGAATAATATTTAAACCTATCGACTAGGCCACCCCACTGGATCAGCAGCGGAATTTTGAAATAATATTCAAATAAGGTTTGGGTTTCCAAGTTACACTATTTTTTAAAACTCTCACACTCTGCATCTTCATAAACTATGATCACAGTTTATTAAATCAACACAATGAAGTCTACACACCTTCCCACTCTAGTTCAAAATAAAGTTTATCTTATAACTAAGAATACCTATAGCAAAAATGATTAAACACGAAATTAGATAAACATTACATAAGCAAATTGAAATCAGTTTTCATACTAATGCTACCTTAGATTCATTCACAGCTCTCTAAAGAACAGAGGATCTCAAGGGACCTGTGGAGAGACCTATCTGACCTCCTCAGTTTACAGCTGGGAACCAAGCAACTGGGCTTAGACTGAGCCCAGCGACAGCTTTCAAATGATGCTCTATTTTACTTGGAACTGACTCTTCCCAACCATCACTGCGATCCCTAGGTAATGCATTTTATTTCCTTTCAAAGTGCGTGACCTGGGTTTCAGACTCAACTCTGCATTAAACACTCAGTGTGTCAGGAAAGTCAGGCTTCCTTGGGGTCTGTTTCCTTATTTGTTCAATGCAGACATTACCAGCTTTGCCTATTCCACAGGGTGCTTGTTAGGCTTGGGATAATTAGGATTACATGTGGGAAAGTGACACTGAAACTGTACTCGCTATACAAGAGAATGCAAGTGAGAAAAAAATAGCATCAACAGCAGCTTAAAAAAGTGCTCACTGAGGCATGTCTTAGAAAAATGAACTTACATCACCATGAAATAACCTAGGGAACTGGTACATGAACTCAGTTCTTCCAAAATGTTATACTTCCAAAAGACCCGCTCAGGAAATGTGTTTCTGGCATTCAATTCACTAGCAAATTCTCCTTCCTACTCCTGGTTCATACATATTGTCAAATCAGAATTATGCCCACATTTTATTTACCTATTTAGCCAAAATGTGAAAACTGTCTCACACCTTTTCCTTCTGCCATATATACATATATAAATAAAGACAGAGTCTCGCTCTGTCGCCCAGGCTGGAGTGCAGTGGCATGATCTCGGCTGACTGCAACCTCCACCTCCCGGGCTCAAGTAATTCTCGTGCCTCAGCCTCCCAAGTAGCTGGGACTACAGGCACCTGCCATAACGGTCGGCTAATTTTTGTTATTTTTAGTAGAGATGGGGTTTCGCCATGTTGGCCAGGCTGGTCTGGAATTCCTGGCCTCAAGTGATCTGCCTGCCTCGGCCTCCCAAAGTGCTGGGATTATAGGTGTGAGCCACTGCGCCCAGCCCACCTTATACTTTTGATACCTCTTCTGCCTGCTCACTCCCACAGACTTCCCAGGATGCACCCACCCAGCATCTGTGTGCCATTTGCCACACAGCAACCATCTGGGCTCCCGGCTACACTAAGCCTGCTCAGCTCTAGACCCTAACCCCCCTGACTCAAGGACAAGCTCCCTCAACTCTTCCTTCTCCAACATCATCGACATTTTGCACTCTACCAATACATTCCACCACGTTGGTAAATGATGGTGTTTTCTCCTATGTTAACACAGTAGCTGCTTTCCTTTGGCCCTACCTATCGCTTTATTTCTTATTCCTATTTGCAGCAAAAACTTCCATAAAGAGCTGTCGGTCGGGCTCAGTGGCTCACACCTGTAATCCCGGCACTTTGGGAGGCCGAGGCAGGTGGATCACAAGGTCAGGTGTTCAAGACCAGCCTGGCCAAGACGGTGAAACCCTGGCCCTACTAAAAATACAAAAATTAGCCAGGCGTGGTGGCGGGCGCCTGTAATCCCAGCTACTCGGGAGGCTGAGGCAGAAGAATCGCTTGAACCCAGGAGGTAGAGGTTGCAGTGAGCTGAGATCGCATCGCTGCCCTCCAGCCTGGGCAATGGAGTGAGACTCTGTCTCAAAGGAAAAAAAAAAAAAAAAAAGGAAAGAAAAAAGAGCTGTCTACACTTGTGTCTCTAATTCCCAGCCTCTCATTTTCTCTCAAACATACTCCCATCAGGCTTTCTTCCCTCCACTCCATAAATGCTGTGCCCATCATGGCTGCCAGCAGCCATCACAAGGCCCAGGGGCCAATCCCCCGTCCTCATCTCCTCATGTGAATGAGCCTCCCTCAGTCACCACACTCTAGGAGGAGGGGTCACGTGAGTGCCTTCTCCATTTCCTTCCCTATTCCCTTTGTCCCTCCACCTCAAGGGGGCTAAGTCCCGGGTCCTGGTCTCTTCCTCCCCTGCAAGTGCTCGCTACCAGTCCTAGGCTTCAAGGCTACCGACAGACGGATGACACCCACTTTGATCTCTCTATCCCAGACCTTGCCCCTAAATTCCACTGTCTAACAGACATCTCCAAACCCTAGCAAGGCTCCTTGAAGGGTCCAGCTTCAAAGCAGAGTACAAGCCCATCTCCCCGGCCACACCCCTACCCGCCTGCTGGGGGCCTCCACCTCTCCTCTGGATGATGGCAGCCTCTGCTCTGTTCTCCTGCTCTGCCCTGCCCTTGACGATCCACCCTCAATTCAGCAGCTGGGAGGAGCCTCTTTGCATCTCAGTCAGACTAGGCACCCAGAAATGGGCAGGTGAGAGAAATATCTGCTGGGTTAATGATAAAGGACTAGAAATTAAACCAGTTGTGAGAGGAGACCCACAGATTCCCCGAGAGGACTCCACCCCAGCATCCTACAGGTGGGAGGGATGGGGGACAGATGAGAGGGACGGGGGAAGGGGAACAATAATTCCGACAAGCCCAGTGGACCCTGTTGTCTAACTCTCGTGAAGCTGCAGGCAGACCACAGGTCTATTTTACAGAAGGGGAAACCAAGGCTCAGAGAGGCCCTAAATTTCTCAAGGATGCATGGCTGCCAAGGGGAGGAGTCTGAGCTGGGGCCCGAGGTGGCCGGGCTAAAGCTTTCTCTTTCTCATAGACCACCGCAGGGACAGGAGTTCCTTTTCTACCCTGGGTCGCAAATTAAAGCAAATCTCTGAGACCCTCAGTCTGATTTCTGCAACTTTTTTCTATCTCCCAAATTTCAATCTAATATTTGAAAGAGTTGGCAAAATTTTCTTTAGAAAATGATGTTAAACTCTGTGTGGCTTTTGGGAATAACATTAGGTAACCTTATATATAACACTATTAATTACTGACATTAATGTTCATATGTATAGCAGGAATTTTAATTTTACTTACTAAAATGCACCAAAAAGTACTCACATTTTTCATTTTTGTACTTTTTGAAGAAAACATTTTGTAATAAAACAAGGAATGGCACAAAATGAGTAAGAATTGAGACAAACTGAACATTAAGTAGATATTTCTAAATTATTAGTCTTTTAATTTTTCAACTTTTCCCTTTTTAATTAAGTTTACTTGCAAAATAAAGACGTCCTTATTTATAGGTTGCAACAAGTGAATCTGAGATGAGGCTATGGAAACTGCTAGAAAATTTAGTAGAACAAATAAAATAACTTGACATATTATATAATCTATGATATAGAAAATGTAAAGAAAGGTAAATAAAATGAGAGAAATAAAAATATTTTCACTTTAAGTTTGCACTGTGAAGAATTTATAAGGAGACCACTTTGATAAAATTATTAAAATCTGAAATTATTTTCCTAAGATACATACAAAACACTGACTATGGAGCTTGATTTCCTTAAAAGCAACCATCAATCTGCCCAAGGATGGAGACCAATTTAAACTTTCATAACGAAAACAAAGTCAAAGACTAATGAAAAACTAAGTGGTTAAAACACAAATGAAAAAGGGAAGATGTGAAGAACCATGTTAGGGTAAAAAATACTGAGGATGGAAGAATGGCAAATGAGGAAAGAAGGCTATTGTAACAATTAGAGTAGTTATTCTCCTTTCTGCTGTATCTCTAACATGACTTGCTGACTACAGTATGAGTTTATCTCTTTCATTTTACATTTATTTTGACTTCCCCAGTGTGTCACAAAATAACCCACTAGACAGATTTTTAAAAAAAATTCTACAAAATGTCAGCACAGTAACAAACAAGAAAGTTTAACATATTGTTCCTCACAAAATTTTCATTTTAATCTCTTTCACTTAGGTCCTTTGTAATGTGCTTCAGTTCTTACTTTGGGGGAAAATATTTCAATGCATACCAGTAACTAACAAAATAGTACTTAATTAAAGCACACAAGCACACTAGCCTATTAAATTTAGATAGCATCTTTCCTAGTTAAATTAACGGAATAAACTAAATAATACAGTATTTTCATTTAAATATCAGAATATACTTATCAAAGAGTAAATAATTTCTTCTATGTGTCCAGCTATTTTTGGCAAAATTAAGAGCTAATATAATCGGTTTAACTGAACTCTAAGTCTCAAAGTCATCACAGGTAGTCAAGTTAAAAATAAAGAATGAAATTGAACCACTTGGCTTGTGACACTAATTAACAAATACAGTAAAGCCCCCCTTAGAACACAGTCTGGAGTGGATTTTACGACTTTGTCCTCGTGAGCGCTCGTGTAAGCAGGTGGTCATGCTGCCTGAGGCATTAAGAAAGCATGGCGGGGCCAAGGTCGCGGGGAAGGATACGGTCAGTGCCTTGGAATATCACACAACCTTTCACCAGCTCTCCCATGATGCAACCCACTGACCAGATATCAACTGAAAATAAAATGAAATGATAAAATTATGAAGTGCCATGAACAAAACAAAAGTGAGGAAAAGGAATTCTAACAGTGCACTAAACACACAAATATGGAAAAATAAATTGCTAGCTAAGGGTGACATTTTACACAATATGAATGATTGCTGACCTCTATTTTAGCCTTCGGTTTGTAGCAATCTGGGGTTTTAGTGCCAAAGAGTCCAATACTTTATAGCTTAAAACAAACAAACAAACAAACAAAAAACCAGAAACAAGAAGTGCCTGTGAACACAAAGCTTTTCAGGGCCACACGCCCACCCCAGCCTCCATGGCCAAGTACCGGGTCCCCTGTGAAGGATACAGTCTCTTCCCGGGAACAGGACTTTATGGAGGACCATTTCTGCCATGATGCACCCGACAGACCAGATGTCCACTACCAAACACCAGGGGATTAAAAACCAGCTAGAGTCCCCCATCTTTTTTCTTCAAACCCCCTCCCAGGACAAACCCGGTACACGTCACTAGCTTGCCGGCGGGAGCCTCTGTGCGTTGTTGATACCACACCTCCTGAGCGATCATTTTCTAGACTGCCCCGTCAGAAAGGCAGCAGCACTCACTGGCGGCACAGGCTGGCTGGCTTGCAGGACTGCAGGTGAGGCCCTGCTAGAGGGGCCCAGACTTCCACGGTGCCCACCCTCATCTGTGGGGCCTCAGACAGACAGCAGAGGCCTCTAAGTGCCCTGCTGGCGGGCCGAGGGGAGAAGTGAACAGGGGATCAAGTTTTCTCTCCCCTCCACAGGAAGCACATGAAGCTGTGCCCCTCAGGGTGGGAACACAAGCTACAACGCAGCAAGATGAACCTGTAGCAAAACTCATTTCAGATGACCCGGGCAAACTTTCAGTCTTTTTAAAAATAAGTAAGCGTGATTTCGTTATTTTCAACAAATTTGCTAAAAGCCAAGTTTCAAAGAGCTCTGATATTGCTAGAATAAGCTAAGTTTTGATGTAAAAAGACACCAATTTTACATGAAAACATGTGTTATTCTATTTACATCAAATTCAAAAAAACAATATGCAGACCAACAAATAAAGCTGATCCATGGTACTGGAGATCAGGAGATTGGCCAGCCTCGTGGGCTGCGAGGAGGGGCCATGGGGAGGCCAGAGCTGCTGCTGCTGTGGGTGTGCTCACCTCAGCTGAGCTGCACACTCAGGATTTGCACACTTGGCTATAGACAGCTTAACTCTGATTAAAAAGTTCAAAAATAACAATTTTAAAAGTGAATTTTTAAAAGAGAATGATTTTAACCAATGGAAAAACACAATTAATTATTTCTTATCTCTGGATCATGCTATATTCTGGGTGTAACAGTCCCCACAGTATATATCATATGGTTCAAAGGAAAGAGAAAAAACTCGAGACCACCGCTAGAGCAATTTCTAAACATCCCAGCCTCTTCCAGCCCCGGCTATACTCACCGTTCTCTTTGTAGCCCATACCCAGGATGACTTCGGGCGCCCGGTAGTACCGTGTCACCACGTAAGGGGTCATCATGAAGTTAGTGCACGCTGTCCGGGCCAGGCCAAAGTCAAGGATCTTCAGGGTGCAGTCTGATTTCACAACAATGTTGCTAGGCTTCAAATCCTAGGAAAGAAATGGCTTAAATTAGTAAAATGAATGAAGCATGCTAAATAAACTACTTCACATCCGTGAGGGTCGTGAAGCCAGTGTGAGAGTGTAGGGAGTGAACTGAACTCTGAGATTTGGGAACAACTTTGGAAAATCTTACTCTCAAATTGAAACTAAAACAAATCAGCCTAAAGCCGTCAGATGGTGCCCCTTACCCCCAGTGGAAACCTTCATGGCCCCCATTTGCCCTTTCTGTGGTCTCGCAGGCCCTCAGGCTGTCCTATCTACCCTCCATCCATGCATCTACACGTCCAGCACACATGCCCCCCTCCCGCTCTCCACGCCTGGACTTGAGTTCCCCAATACTCTGACTCTCTCTTGCTAAGGTCCTCATGCTGTCAGTCCAGCACACACGGCCCCCTCCTGCTCTCCACGCCTGGACTTGAGTTCCCCAATACTCTGACTCTCTCTTGCTAAGGTCCTCATGCTGTCTGTCAGTCCAGGGCAGTGCTGTCCCACAGACAATGTCATATAATGCGAACGATGTGTATAATTTACATTTTCTACTAGCCATGCTCAACAGCATGCAGAAATAGGTGAAATTAATTTTAATCATACAGTATATTTTTTTAACCCAATATATCCATAATATTATCATTTCAAAATGTAATCAACATAAGAAAAATACTGAGATATTTTACATTCTCTTTTTAGTACTGAGCCTTTGAAGTCCAGTATGTATTTTACAACTGCAGCACGGCCACATCCTGAGTGCTCCACAGCCTCCTGTGGTTAGTGGCTGCCATACTGGACAGCACAGGTCTAGAATCGTCTGATCCTGGAATCTTCCCATGGCTCTTTCTCTCCTTGGAAGAGCAATTCCATGATCATCCACCTCCAATCTTCTCACCTTCGCCACAAAGACACGCCAGCACTGGTGCTGCTGTCTCCATCTGTACGTGGCACAAAAACTCACCTGCTCATGTTCTGGTTGCCACCTCTCTTCCCTCCCCAGTGCTGACTCTGTGTGAGCTCTCAGCACTCAGAAGCACGCCTGGCGCGAGCAGACACTTGGGAAGTGTCTGCAGAATGAAGACATGCATCATATTCCACCTGACTTGCAAAGCCTTAACACAACTTCTGCAACCTTTTCCCTCATAACTAAGGGATTTTCTTCCTGCTGATCCTCCACCCTAGCCCCTTCCTCAGGCCTTAGGAATTTGACTTTTGCCTGGGGACTTCGGCCTGCAAACTCACTTGAGAAACTGTGACTTGTAAACAACCCACACCCATTCTTTTCACAAGAGTAGTGCACCTGCAATGTCAAACTGCCAAGCCACTGACATGGCGTAAGGCATGAGGATACTTTACCCAGGAAGTTGCAGGTTCAGTAGCACTGCCTAGCACCTGCCTGTAAGACACCCCAACTGATGGGCCACAAGGGGGGTTGCAGGCGGCATGCCTCAGTGAAGGCTGTGGGGCTGTCATCAGGGCAAGCAGGAAGCCATTTCGACATTGACAACAGGTACAATTACACTGCCATGCTGCTAAGTGACCTGTTTCTAGGCTTCCTAGATTCTGTAAGATTTAAATGATAAACATATAATGTTTAAAAATGCAGTCACAATCTCTACCTGGCCCCAAAAAGAGGCCCCCAGCCCCTCCATTCCACCTTAGAGTACTGTGCAGACACCCCCGGTTCCCAGAAAGGCCTGAGAGGAAGAAACCGGGCTGCCTCCCTGCATGAAGGAAAGCCAGGGAGAAGCAGCCCACATTCAACCAGGGACGCTCCGCTGTGAGGACCAAGTCAGGGAGCTAAGACCAAATGAACGAATTCGCTTCTTGTTTCCTTTTTTAAAATCAAAGAGTATGACAAGAACAGGCATTTTAGAACATAAATTACTAACAGATAAAATAATGCTCAATCTCACAAAAATCTTCTTTAAAAACCCAAAATGAATGCCCATTTTTAGTCTATCACTTGGCAGCGATGGAAAGCAAGCAGACTCGGTGCTGGCGGGAGAAGCAGAAACAGGCGCTTCCTCAGGCCACAGAGGGTGTGCAGTGGGCACTTTCTCTCCAGGAGGCTGATTTCTGAGGTGTGAAATGCACACACTTCCCCAGCCAGCAGGCCCTGAAGCCCAGCCCACCCAGAACTAACAGCACGGCCGCAGGAGCAAGGAAGACAAGGACAGCCTGGTTCTACCAAGGACAGACGCAGCAGTGGAACCATCTCCACGGGCTGCCTGCCAGCTCTGTGAACCCCAGTGCGCCAGAAACACGCTCATCTGAAGACACTGCCATCTGTCAAAAAACTGTCATCACATACTAATTTAACAGGAAAAGCACACTTTACTGCCGTCTGCTGGAAGACTGTGGTGATAAAGTCCCAAGCTTGTGTGGGTGCTCTGTGTGGCCAATGGGGAGGTGGCTAAGGAGGTGCTCTCCCCGCACCCTGGGACCCTCTCTAGTCACCCCCGAAATACAACCTGAGGCAGCTTCCCAACACCTCACTTCAATTTCAAGACAGCAGAGGAAAGACAGTTCTGCCCCTTCAAGTCTTGAAAATCACTCAGAACAAAGAAGACAAATGCCAAGTACAGATCCAAGTGACGCCTGGATCGGGGCTTGGCTCCCAAAATGCCTGGAACCCAACGCTACCCTGTGGGCAGCAGTGAGGGTACCCACAGCACCCGCAGCATGAGTGGGGCAGGTGCTGACCTCCCCCACTGCCCGCTCAACTCTGGGATCCAGACCCACTGCTTGAGAGGTATCCCAGGAAGGAGCACATCATGACAGGTGTCCACTGTCTGGCCTTGCCGGTCCTTCCCCACAGGTACCTGTGGCCACCCACCGGGTAAGAACAGCCAGGCACTCTTGAGGATGAATGGACACAGCTCTAAGTAGACACTGAAACCCGAAGACCCCAAACACTCTCAGGGCTCCTCCACTTGCAGGGTTCGTGGGGTCAGGGGTCAGGGGTCAGGGCATAAGTGAAGTCTGGGCCAGGTCTCTTGCGGCCATGTTATGGGAGGGTGGGAACGTTAGCAAAGGCTTAGAGCAAGGCTGTGAGAGAACATTGCTGTCCAGCCTGCAGCAGTGTGGGCGCTGTCTGGGCCTCTCTTCTAATCAGTGTGGAGGATGCATTTGCCCCATCAACATGCCAGACCTGAGGCCTTATTAATCTGCTCCAGCAACAACTGCACCTTGACATGCACAGCAGCTGCGGCCAGGACTGCCAGTGCCGTAAGCCTGTGGCCGTCTGGGGTCATTCTCCAGAATCCATGCAGCTTCTTCAAGGGCTGGACTAACGAGTTAGACTGGGATGCAAGATACCACTGTCTCTGCTCCCCTGAGGCTTCCATGGTGGCCCTAGTCTCCTCCACCCACCCCGGGCCCTGCAGGGTGTGATCTTGTTTTTGATTTACTATCTTGGGGGCAGTTTCAGGTTTCCATTTGGCCTTCCCACTGTGACGACTCTTACTCACAGGCCAAGGAACTCGTGTGGGCGTTACTCCACCTGCCAAGCGCCTCCGCTCCGGCTACACACTGAGGACTGGGGAGACGGCCACTGGGTGGCCTGGGACCCTGTGGCCCACTGAGAGCCACCAGACACAGACGGCTCAGGAATGAAGGCCTGGGACACAGGCCAGGCAAGCCACAGAGGCCTGCCAATGTGAGAGCTGAGGGTATGAATAACAGGAAAGGGTAGGGAAAGAGCCAGCAGAGAGACCACAGTGACAGGGACTACAGGGTGTCCCACTAACCTCTGTCTTCCAGATTTCCCCTGAGGAAGAGAGAACCATGGGCGCCACAGGAAAGCCATTCCCAACTTATGTGGAGAAG
This sequence comes from Homo sapiens, assembly GCF_000001405.40. NCBI lineage: Eukaryota > Metazoa > Chordata > Mammalia > Primates > Hominidae > Homo > Homo sapiens. Next base: position 180,252,970 of record NC_000005.10, read on the forward strand.
TAGAGCTGAGGGGGCCAGGGTGGACTGTGGGGTCCACGGAAATGCACTCCTTGGTCTCCCGCCACAGGAGTGAGAGTGACAGATGGCCCAGTGTGGTGTCTGCACCTACCCTCTGTCCCTGCCAGGGCACACCTCCCACAGAGCCGTCAGCCAGGGGCCGACCGGGCAGGGATGCTGAGGCAGGCCCGTTCCTGTGTGACACCGGAGGCCCTCAGAGCTGCACCGCAGTCTGGACCAGGCCTCTGAGGGGCCAGGACTGCACTACGTTCAGCTAGCATTTGCTGCCTCCTCTGGCTGCTCCCCCTTCCTTCTCGCACAGGCCTCCTCCCGGCCAGTCCCTCGCCTGTCTAACCCACCGTGGCATGCGGAAGCCGCCCACGAAAAGCCCCACGCTACAGGGACAGGAAGCTGCAGGGCCGCCCAAATGCCCTAGCTGAGCGAAGGAAATGCCAACCTCTATAAATGGCCACGACACCCAGGAAAGGCTCAGCAAGTGAAATGCAGGTGCTATGGAGGCAGAAGAGGCAAGGGTAGCACTTGGAGAAGTTTTCATTTTATTGAAAGTCCAAGTACGTAGTAGATGTCCCAGATCCCCATCTCCATCCCAGAAGTGAGGCTCCACTCCTTCCTCACTCCTGCTGGCCCTTCACGCAGAGAAACTGATGCCCAGCTTCCAGGTGCAGGGCCACAGGCGCCGCATGCACAGTCCTGTGGGTACCAACAGGGAAGGCACGGTGAGGCCTGCCTGCAACAGGGCTGCCTGGTGAGTTTGCGCTCTGCCACATGAGAAGCACAGCCCTGTACCCCAGCAGCCAGGCTTACATCCCTCCACCAAGGGACTGAAGGGGCCTTTTCCAGAGAAATTAAATGGTGCCCAGAGAAAAAACCTACAGAAGGTGACACCTGTGGCTGCCTGTGGTCCAAGAGACACCCATTCTTTAACAATTTACCCATTCACTCAGTACTTCCAGTCAGCCTTTAATGCTTCAATCTCTTTTTTTTTTTTTTTTTTTTGAGACGAAGTCTCGATCTTGTTGCTCAGGCTGGAGTGCAATGGCACTATCTCAGCTCACTGCAACCTCCGCTTCCTGGGTTCAAGAAATTCTCCTGCCTCAGTCTCCTGACTAGCTGGGATTATAGGCACCTGCCACCACGCCCAGCTAATTTTTATATTTTTAGTAGAGACAGAGTTTCACCATGTTGACCAGGCTGGTGTCGAACTCTTGACCTCAGGTGATCTGCCCGCCTCAGTCTCCCAAAGTGCTGGGATTACTGGCATGAGCCACCGTGCTTGGCCTAATGTTTCAATCTTAAACATGATCCAACCAGACATTTGGGGAAAGCCTTGCGTGTGACAGGGAGGGACCTAACACACTAAAAAGGGAACTCTCAGTAGAGAAAGACAATGCAGGGAGTGATAAAACCCTTCAACAAAAGCTTATCCTCAGAGATGATAGTATATACATGCAACAAGAACAGAATGCTGTAAAAAGGAACTTTTAAGAGCAAATGAGTGTCAATTAACTCGTGCTTCAGAGAAAAAGAATAAAGAATGGAGTTAAGAGGACATTCTGAAAGAAATGATATAAATTTCTCAGACCTCTATAATATGTGCTTCCAGACTGAAGGCCAAGTGCCCAGCAAAACTAAAGAAAAAATGCCCACATCAAGGCATACATCAAAACATCTCAGAATACAAGGAATAAATAACTGAGTTTAAAAGTTTCCAGAGATAAAACCAAACCAAAACCCAAAACCACAGCACTTAAAAAAGGTTAGTCATCAGCCAGGCACAGTGGCTCATGCCTGTAATCCAGCACTTTGGGAGGCCGAGGCGGGCGGATCACGAGGTCAGGAGATCGAGACCATCCTGGGTAACAAGGTGAAACCCTGTCTCTACTAAAAATACAAAAAATTAGCTGGGCGTGGTGGCGGACGCCTGCAGTCCTAGCCACTAGGGAGGCTGAGGCAGGAGAATGGCGTGAACCCGAGAGGCAGAGTTTGCACTGAGCCAAGACCATGCCACTGCACTCCAGCCTGGGCGACAGAGCGAGACTCCATCTAAAAAAACATCAGATGGCACTAAGAAACTCCGGAGCCATGCTAGATGCCTTGCTACCACAGGCACTGCCTCCGCCATTCTGAGCGCAACTGATCTGTAACTAAGAATTCTACACACATCTACACACAACCACACTACTCATCATGTGAGAGGGCAGAATAAAGAGTTTCAGACATTTGAGGCCTCAAAAAATTTCTCTCCCCTGTGGCAATTTAGGAAGCTTTTGGAGGATGCGTCCCACCAAAACAAGGGGGTAATCTGAGAGACAAGGACAGCAAGCAAGGAATCCAACATGGGAGGCAGATGAAGGAAACCCCCACAAAATCACCAAGGGAGATCCAGGACAGCCCCTTCGAGCAGGTGCAGTGGCAGCCAGTGCAAAGGGGAACAGGGCTGAGGCTTGGGAGAGGTTCCTGAGAAGATGAAACTGATGAAATACCCAAGACATCTACATGTGCTGAGAGAAAATTCAGATGCCTGATGGAAGAGTTAGGGTTGAATTACCACCAAGAACACAGAAACTACCCCCCAAAACAAACAAAAACCTCACACAAATAGAGTATAAGTGTTTGTTAACTCCAGGGAACAAAAGGTGAAAGGGGAAGGTCTGCTGTGCAAAGCATTTACACGCTCACGATGACGCAACGAGCCAAACACCATCACATCCACCAGCCTGGGAGGAGGGCGAGGAAGGCCGAGGGTGAGGGCTGGGTTGGTAAGAAGCTAAATCAGCATCTTATGCCCCAAACTGAGAAAGGATCAATGAAGAAAGAGCTAAGCATATTATTTCAATATGGAAATAGAGACCAAAATAATCAGCTAAATGAACTGAAGGAGTTTGCTTCTAGGGAGAGAGAAATAAAGGGAGAGGTGGAGGTATCTGTTTTTCATAAATATTTATAGAAATATTTGATCCTTGATTTAAAAAAACAAACCAAGCTACCTGTTTAGGAAGTTGCTACGCAGTTATATGCAAGGTGATCCTGTCTTTGAAGGATGTAAGTTCAAAAGGACATAAGTACAGATATGCTGGTGTTAACATCAGTCAACAGAGAGGTGCCATGCAGAGTGAGGCAGGACATGCACCAGCGTGCTCTCACTGGCCATCTCCAGGTGCTAACAGAGGGCTGGGTTACTTGCATTTCATTTTTTGAATTATATAAAGTATATACTTCGGTGGGATATCATGGGCAAAACTTTATCTTTCAAATACTTAAAATTTATGTTTTGTATTAAACCATTTTAATAGGCAAAATTAAAAGTGTGTCTATCTCTGTGCATGGTACTGTAGATGGAACAAAGGATGGTGCAGTCCACACAGAACAGTTAACTTAGGGCTCCTCCCTTCCTGGGATGTGGGCAGGGGTGGGGCAGGGGGGCAGGGGGCAAGAGGGAGTTTCCCCCTTTGCTTTATACACCTGTGCAATGTTTGGAACTTCCCCACAGTGAGCATGCATCACTCTCCCACATGGACACAGATGTGGGGAGAGCCTGGCAAGGCCATGGATGTGGGAAGCAGCAGGGAACAAGGTGACAGGGAGGAGAGGACACAGCAAGATGCCAGGTGGGTGGGGATGGTGAGCAGGAGGCAGGGATGGCAACAGGGCCATTTTCTGAAGGCTTCTTAGGTTTCTATACCTCGTGCTGGGCAAACCAAACACTCCTTTGGGCCCCATCTGACTCAGGCTGCAGGCACCGGCTATTCCATAAAAAAGGCCTGCCGACGCTGCAGCTCTCACAAAGCCCCCAGTGACAGGAGGCCATTGTTTCCCACTTACCTTGGGGCCCAAGGGGGAACAAGTCAGACAAACCATTTCCCCTTATAAAATGAATAAGGCCTAATGTAGTAAGACTAATAATCTGGGAAATTATTCTAAAGCATAAATAAAATGTATTTAAGAGATATCAAGAGTACCTTAAATTATATGAAGGTCTGTGGAAACTTCAGGAACAGAAATAGAATGGTACATCAGGAGATCTTTAATTCAGAAGCCTAGTGTTACTATTTTTAAAGCAAAGTCACCAATATATTATTTTAACTGACCATCTGATGGCAGCAAAGGTTCTATTTTAAAAAACAGTACACTAGATGGCAGATGGGAGGCTGTCAGCTAGCCCTGGGAGGACAAGAGCTATCCCTGACGCTGCCCTTGGGCCACAGACCTGAGGCTTGAGACGAGACAACCCTGCCCTCTGTGGGTCGGTGGGCTCTACCCCCAAGGGAGGCCTTCAATGGCTGTGATGGAACCAATCTTTCCTGGCAAAAGAGATCTGAAAAAATTATTACCACTCCACCATCTAAAACCCATCTGCTTATTTCTGTAGTAACAGGCTCTGCTGTTCTTGTCTCTCACTAGCTTCTTCCCCACAGATTTCAGTTCAGCAAAAAGATGACCTCTTGCTGTTGGAACATAAAATCTAATGGCAATCTGTTGATAAAATTAGTATAGTAATAATCCAGGGAATGCTAAGAATATCTATTTCCGATAAAATTATATTATCTCTGCCTCTAGTCTCACTCAGTATTTTAATTGTTTTTTAGAAAAAATTCGGGCCAGGAGGCCCTAGGTGGCTCTGCCACAGACTGTCACCCTGTGACCTTGGAGATCCCTAAGCAGGATGCCATAGAATCCTGGAAGCCAGGAAATGGAAACAAATGGGAAGACCAGAACAGTGAAAGTCATTTCAATAATTCTGGAAAAAATTTATGAAGTCCTATGGGAGAAAGACTCTGTGAATGTAAAGAAGGTAGTCATTGTGGAGAAATATTCGGCCAGATTCCAAATCTGAACCTGAAGAAGAAAATTTCTGCTGATGTAAATTCATGTGAATGCAGAGTGTGTGGACAAGTCTTCACATGTCCTTCATCCCTTAATAGGCACATCTTATCTCATTCTGGACACAAACTACATGCATGGGAGAAACGTGGGGTGAAGCCATACAAATGTAAACAATGTGAGAAAACCTTCATTTCTCTCACAAATGTCCAAAGACACATGGTAACACACACTGGTAACAGGCCTCATAAATGTAAGAAATGTGGGAAGACATTTAAGTTTCTCTATTTACTTCAAAGACACAAAGTAATTTACAACGGAGAAAAACCCTGTGAATGGAAGAAAGGTGGTAAAGCCTTGAGATTTTGCAGTTATTTTCAAAAACATAAAAGAACTCACAGTGGGGAAAAACCTTATAAATGTCAGAAATGTGAGAAAGCCTTTGGACATTCTGGTTACCTTCATAACCATAAAGGTGCTCATGCTGAAGAGAAACCCCGTGAATGTAGGAAATGTGGGAAACGATTCAGTTTTTGTAGTTACTTTCAAAGACATAAAGAGCTCACAATGTGAAAAATCTTCCATGTGTTTAAGAAATATGGTAAAAGACTCACTCTTTCCAGTTCCATTCAGAAACATAAAAGAAATAATACTGGAGAGAAACCCTATAAATGTAAGAAATGTAGCAAAGCCTTCAGTCATCCCCGCTCCATGTGAAGACATCAAAGAACACATATTGGAGAGAAATCCTATAACTGTAAAAAATGTGGCAAAGCCTTCAGTCAACACAGTTCCCTTAGAAGACATGAAAGAACTCATACTGGAGAGAAACCCAATGAATGTCAAAAATGGGATAAAGGCTTCAGTCGGTTCAGTTACCTCCAAACACATGAGAGAACTCATACTGGAGAGAAACCTTATGAATATAAAAAATGTGGCTGGGCGCAGTGGCTCACACCTGTAATCCCAGCACTTTGGGAGGCTGAGGCAGGCAGATCATGAGGTCAGCAGTTCGAGACCAGCCTGGCCAACATGGTGAAATCCTGTCTCTACTAAAAAAAAAAAAAAAAAAAAAAATAGCCAAATTTGGTGGCAGGTGCCTGTAATCCCAGCTACTTGGGAGGCTGAGACAGGAGAACTGCTTGAACCTGGGAGGTGGAGGTTGCAGTGAGCCAAGATCACACCACTGCACTCCAGCCTGGGCAACAGAGCAAGACTCTGTTTCAAAAAAAAAAAAAAAATGTGGTAACACCTTCAGGCATTCCAGCTCCCTTTGAACACATGAAAAATCTCATACCAGAGAGAAACCCTTTGACTGTAAGGAATGTGGTCAAGTCTTTAGACATTTCAGTTCTCTAAGTAAACATGAAAGAACTCACACTGGAGAGGCACCCTTTGACTGTAAGGAATGTGGTCAAGTCTTTAGACATTCCAGTTCTCTATGTAAACATGAAAGAACTCACACTGGAGAGGAACCCTTTGACTGTAAGGAATGTGGTCAAGTCTTCAGACATTCCAGTTCTCTACGTAAACATGAAAGAACTCACACTGGAGAGAAACCCTTTGACCGTAAGGGATGTGGTCAAGTCTTCAGACATTCCAATTCTCTATGTAAACATGAAAAATCTCACACTGGAGAGAAACCCTTTGACTGTAAGGAATGTGGTCAAGTCTTCAGACATTCCAGTTCTCTATGTAAACACGGAAGAACTCACACTGGAGAGAAACCCTTTGACTGTAAGGGATGTGGTCAAGTCTTCAGACATTCCAGTTCTCTATGTAAACATGAAAAATTTCACACTGGAGAGAAACCCTTTGACTGTAAGGAATGTGGTCAAGTCTCCAGACATTCCAGTTCTCTAGGTAAACATGAAAAATCTCATACTGGAGAGAAACCCTTTGACTATAAGGAATGTGGTCAAGTCTTCAGACTTGCAATGTGGTGAAGTCTTCAGATATTCCAGTTCTCTATGTAAACATGAAAGAACTCAAACTGGAGAGAAACCCTATGACTGTAAGGCATGTGGCAAAGCCTTTAGATATTCCAGTCCTGTATGTAAACATGAAAAAACTCATACTCTGTAGAAATCCTGAGAATGTAAGGATTTGGGGAAAACATTCAGTTAATTCAGTTATCTTTGAAAACATGAAAGAAATTATACTGGAGGAAAACCGTATAATTTACATAACATGCATATGAGGAATGTGATGATGCCTTTATATGTTCCAGTTACCTCTGAGCACATTAAAAAGCACATGGAACTCTTCCATTTCCCTTTGAAAATACGAAACAAAACTACTACTGAGGAAAAATTCTATGCATGTAAACAATGTGGTAGTGTCTTCAGTCTTTCCAGTTCTACTTGAAGACATAAAAGAACTCATTTCTAAAAAACCCTATAAATGTAAAGAACGTGGGGATGCCTTTGTTTCTCTCCGGCACATTGAAAGACATGATGTATGCAAACTGGAGATGGATCTTTAAATACAAGAAGGTATTCTGTATCTAAACCCTAGTAGTTTGCAAATAAATTTTCATTTTAATAATTATTTCAAAAGTCATCTGAGAACTCCCACTGAGAACAAATCTTATAAATTTAAGGAATTTGGAAAGCCTGATGCAAATTAAATATTCCACAATGCTCAAAACATGCACATGAATGAAATGTTATACAAGTTATAAATATATTGTGTTTGTCAGTGGCTCATTTCTAATGACCATCTCTGGACTGTTGATTTCCACCTTATTTAACACGAAAATATTGAGGTGAGAATTCTGTAGATACCCTTTAAGCAACATGAATCCAATAGGTAGTGTGGGTTTTTTTGTCAGTTAATACAAAATTTTGTCTGTATGTCTAAATGTTTTTGGATCTACAGGTGAATTAAAATGTATTTCTAATAAGTAGGTAACACTGATTTTTATGTAGCTTTTTAATTGTTCTGTAATATGTCATTGAAAACAGATTTTGTTAACTGTTGGGGTTTTCTTACTGGCCTTATTTGACAAGTTTTAATTGTTCTTCACCTATTACATCAATTCCATCTTTCTTTTTTATGAAAAATGTACTGTTTTTTGGCAGGAAGAAGTTTATTTCATTTTCTTTGCTACTGAAGTATTGGTATCAAATTGTGAAAAAAAAAAATCTATCATGATAGTCTGCTTACACAGCCGTACAAGTAATAATAACAAAAAATTGTAAAATCAGCTTAGAGAGAATTATATTAATTATATTATCGCTCCCTAGCTTATTAAATGTTTTTCCTGACAGTACAGTCACACTGTTATTCAAATCCCGGCCTCTGCTGAGCCCACAGGCCTGCTCTGAACCCTTGCGGTGCAGGGTCTGGCCACTCCCACCAGTGATGCAGGGAAGCTGGCACGGCAGAATTTTAGGATAAGAGAAATGGATATGTGGGTCATTATTTAAGAAAGAGAGTTCTCAAGCAGCTGTCTCACTGACTACTTGGCCTTTAAGTTCCTTGCTCATTAAAAATGGGATTTCACATATGGCAAATATATTAAAAACAGGTGAATGTAGATAAATGGTAGTTGGAAGTTCTCTGTCCTATTCTTGAAATTTTTCTCTAAGTTTTAAGTTACTTTAAAATGAAAAGTTTAAAACAATGTATTCTTGCGCAGTATCTGACTGAGAGCGCAGTACCTGGCTGTGTCCACAGCAGCTGGTCTAGCCTGGCAGGCCAGGCGGCTCCACAGATGCCTCCTAGAATGACTCTCTTAAAACACCATATGATTCCATCATCTATTTGGATTTTCAAGCCTAACAATTTTTTTTAAATGTTATTTTGTATGTAAAGGATTATGACAACCAAATGATTGTTTTTAAAAATAAAATTAATACATCACCACTTACTCTATGAATTATACCAGCTGAATGCAGATGTTTAATACCACAAAGCATCTGGTAAAGAAGGTAGGACATTCTTTCATGATCCAGCTCCATGTGAATAACCTGACATAAGTTAGCATCCATTAATTCCATAACCAAATACCTGAGGGAGAAAAGGTCAGTTATTTATTTGAAAATTATCCAAAGTTCCTTTATGACTAAATTTCATGAAACTGTAACTTACTTCCAATCACTGCACTGGCTAAAGTAAAAAGATAACTTGGTATAATGGAACTTTCTAAAAATTTTCCAAAGAATATATAAATAACAAACTTAACGTCTTACAAGTTAAAAATTAAAAAAAAAAACAACAACCTTTTATAGCATGGTAAATAGAATCTCAAACACAAATTTTCCTACTTCTTACATTTTTGGCTGAAATTCTCCGTACCAGCCTAAAGACCATGCTGTTACAGGCTCATCAATCACAACACATGTACCCTCTGGTGGGAGATGCTGAGAACGGGGGAGGCTCTGCACGTAAGGGGCTGGAGACAGACAGGAACTCAGTACCTCCCGCTCAATTTTGCTGTGGCTCTAAATTGCTCTACAATATATACGTTTTTAAAAGTGATTATACAACAACAACAAAAAGGACACTTGACCCCACTCCCCGCTTAGCAACGCCCCGATTCTTTGCTCCCTTTGCAAGCAAAACTCCCCAAAGAGGTGTCTCATGTGCTATCTCCAATTCTTCTCCCTTCTTTTTATTTTTTAAATTTTTTTGAGACAGGGTCTCACTCTGTCACCCAGACTGGAGTGCAGTGGCGTGATCTCGCCTCACTGCAACCTCCACCTCCCGGGTTCAAGCCATTCTCATGCCTCGGACTCCCAGAACTGAAAATTAAATTAAAAAAAAAAAACAGCCATCATGCCTGGATAGTTTTTGTATTTTTAGTAGAGACGGGGTTTTGCCATGTTGCCCAGGCTGGTCTCGAACTCCTGACCTCAAGTGATCCGCCCACCTCGGGCCTTCCAAAGTGTTGGGATTACAGGCATGAGCCACTGCACTCAGCCTTCTCCCATTTTTTTCTTAATCCCACTTGGATCAGGTTTGTGCAGCCACCATTCTGCTGAAACTGTCCTCCTCGAGGCCACTGATGTCTTCCATGCTGCTAAATCCACTGGCCAGTCCTATAATCCCAGCGGGCCCTGCCCTGTCCTGTCTCTAACTTCTCGCTGTCAAAATACCCAGCAACTGGTCCTTGACCCTCTTCTCTTCTGTAACCACACTCACTTTCTTAGTGATCTCAGTTACAGGCCATCAGCTCCCAAATTCCTACGTTCAATTCAGACATATCTCCTGAACTCCAGGCTCATTCCTCTGCCTCCCTATTCCCAGTTCCACCTTGATGTCTAACAGGCATCTTAAAGCCATCTCCAGAACTGAACTCCTGATTCCATCCCTAGCCCAGTCTGCTCTTCTCACAGCCTTCATCATCTCAGTTGAGAGCTCCCTCATCCTTCAGGTGCTCAGGCCAAAAATCTAGGTGTCATTCTCAATTCCTCTCTCTCATACCACACATCTCATCTATCAGCTAATACCATGGCTCTATCTTTAGAACCATTTCAGCATCCAGTCTCTTCCCCTCTCACCCTTCCTATTACCCCTCTGGGCCAAATGGACCCTCCGTCATCCCTTAACAGAACTGCTGCAACAGCAGTAACTGATGTTCCATGCCCCCACCCCTTATAGTGGGTTACCAACCCAGATGCCAGAGTTACGCTTTTCAAACAGAAGGCAGGTGAGCTCACTGCTCTGCTAAGACTCTTACTCTGACTTGCCTTAGAGCAAAAGACATCCTTACAACGGCCTAGAGGCTTGTGGTGTTCACCCTCTTCTCTTCCCCTGCTCCCTCATCTCTAGCCACGCCACCTCTTGATGGTCTTGGAAAACACCAGGCGGGCATCCACTGCTGTCCTGAGCGCTGTCTGTTCCTTCTATCTCCATTCTACTTGCCCCCAAAGTATCTGCGGCACCAAATTCTTTTTTTTTTTTTTTTTGAGACAGAGTCTTGCTCTGTCGCCCTGGCTGGAGTGCAGTGGTGCGATCTTGGCTCACTGCAAGCTCCACCTCCCGGGTTCACACCATTCTCCTGCCTCAGCCTCCTGAGTAGCTGGGACTACAGGCCCCCGCCACCACGCCCGGCTGATTTTTTGTATTTTTAGTAGAGACGGGGTTTCACCGTGTTAGCCAGGATGGTCTCGATCTCCTGACCTCGTGATCCGCCCGCCTCGGCCTCCCAAAGTGCTGGGATTATAGGCGTGAGCCACCGCACCCGGCCAGACCAACTTCTTTATCCCCTTCAAGGCTTTCTTCGAATGTCACCAACTCATGGAGGTCTTTCCCCAGCCACCTTATTTAAAACTGCAGCCTCAAGTCCAACCCTCAGCACTTTTGATCCCCTGACCCAGCTCCACCCTTTGTCCACAGCACCTAGCACATTCTAATGGACTACATGCTTTCCTCATTTATCATGTGGCTTGTCTATCTTCCCTGACAGGCTCCAGGGAAGCCAGGTAGGCCAAGTCCCAGAGAGTGCCCAGCACACAGAGGGCAATCAGATATTTGTTAATGACTGAACACACCAATAAATTCAGGATGAAGTTGGGCATTATGCCTCTCAATAGATTAATACTTCATTTCACTGTTAGTAAGATGATTCTACTTAAGATTCTGGAAATACAGAATCTTAAATAGAATTAGTGACTTAATCATTTTAAGTAATACTCATAAACTCCTGAACCCTAAAATCCTGGCTATCAGGGATTTGAGAAAAACATTTTATAGTTCAGCAAAACACATTAGTGATCCTGGTCTGCTCTGAAGAATTCTTTCCAGTCATCCTTTATCTGTTATGAAGATGAAAACCCATGTGGTACAAATAATTAAATATAACTATCAAATTTTCTAAATATTTCTCTGCAACAGAGAAAGTTATCTGTGATGTCACAAAATGTATTGCCACCTACATTTCCTAAGTATAAAAAGCAGTTGCTGTCTTTTCTAGATGTTCATTCTTTGATGTACAGTGCATTACTGAATAAAAATGATACTTACACATCTTGAAATTCTTCTAGAGTTTTTTGTGGTGTAAACACATTTAACAAACTAATTATCTGAAAAGAGAAAATTAATTATACTTCAATATGTCAGATTACTTGATTACAAAAATTAAGTTTAATATTGAAATGCATTAAGACGGGAAAAAAATCACAGCAGAATTCAGTACTTCTTATTATTACTGCTTTTACCAATTACATGGCATTTGAGAAAAGTTAAACATCAATTAAAGGAAAGATGCACTTTTAATCAAATCACTTTTATGTGTCCCTAGTAACTTAATTATTACAGAATTTAAACACATAATGTCTTTTTGAACATAAAAAAGTAGAATTTACAGGTAAAAAGACATTAAAGCAGTATGTTAACTCTGAAAACTTAAATACTACGCACAAATTTCTAAAAAGGTTTGAAATATGAAGGCTAAGCTCTTGTTTTTGGTGTGATAAAGTGAAAGGCCTCGTAGCATCATATTTTTACCTAAAGAGGGTTAAAGAGCTGATCCTGCGGCAGGCCTCCATCCTGGCACCCTGACATGATTTGGCTGTGTCCCCACCCAAATCTCATCTTGAATTGTAATCCCCATAATCCCCACGTGTCTAGGGAGAGACCTGGTGGGAGGTGACTGGATCATGGGGGCGGTTTCCCCCGTGCTGTTCTTGTGACAGTGAGTGAGTTCTCAGGAGACCTGATGGTTTTCTAAGGAGCACTGCCCACTTTGCTCTTTACTTTTCTCTCTCCTGCCGCCTTGTGAAGAAGGTGCCTGCCTCCCTTTCGTCTTCCGCCATGATTGCAAGTTTCCTGAGGTCTCCCACATCATGCGCAACTATGAGTTATTTAAACCGCTTTCCTTTATAAGTTACACTGTCTTGGGTATCTCTTTATGGCAGTGCGGGAACGAACCAGTACACAGCCCATGGTGTAAACAGCGAGTCCCACGGCTTAGGCACCAAACACATAACCTCAGTCATTCCAGATGACTGAGGGAAAGATGAATTATCCATTATACAGGATTGGGGTGATTGGTTAGCTAAGGACAAAAATAAAACTGCATCCATATTTCAATCTTTATACCAAGAAAAACTCTAAATGGAACAAAGACTTAAATCTAAAACATGAAATAAAACCTCAGAATATAGATAAACATTTATATAATCCTAGCGTAGAAAATCTTTTCTAAACATGACAGGAAACCTAAGAGATCTGATTACATTAAAATGAAACAAAAAATGGGTGATAAAAAATCAGTATGTCAACAACATAAATAATGTCAAATGGAAAAAAAAAAGTAAAGGGCAATAGTTTTAATATTTAAAAAAAAAACCCTCCTACAAATGCAGAAGAGACCAGCAGTCCAAAAGAAAAATGGATAAAGGCCATAAAAATTAAATTACCAAAACACATAAAAATAAGTAACAACCTCACCAATAAAAATAAAATATCATTTATTTATCAAATTGGCAAAAGCAAAACAAAAAAAATCAACAGTATGTAGTGCTGGGGGATTCTGAAGTAACAGACGTTCTCAGACACTTTTTTTTTTTTTTTGAGATGGAGTTTCATTCTTGTCCCCCAGGCTGGAGTGCAATGGCGCAATCTTGGCTTACTGCAACCTATGCTTCCTGGGTTCAAGTGATTCTCCTGCCTCAGCCTCCCAATGAGCTGGGATTACAGGCGCCCACCACTACGCCCAGCTAATTTTTGTATTTTTAGTAGAGACGGGGTTTCACCACGCTGGCCAACCAACGTGGTCTTAAACTCATGACTCAGGTGATCCACCTGCCTTGGCCTCCCAAAGTGTTGGGATTACAGGTGTGAGCCACAGCGCCCGGCTGATACTTTTTTTTTTTTAGGAGATGGGGTCTTGTTTTGTTGCCCAGGTGTGCCTTAAACTCCTGGCTTCAAGCGACCCTCCTGCCTCAGCCCAAGTAGCTGGGATTACAGGTGAAGTGACCGTGCCCAGCTTCTCAAATACTCTTAATGAAAATATCAAACTAATAGTCTTCCTTGAGGTCAATTTGTCAGTATATTTTAAACTAGAAGTGTGTGTACTCTGACCTGACAATGTTGGCCAAGAAATTCACCTGGACGAGTATGCAAAAATTCAGGCGTTAGAATGTTCATTGCAGCACTGCTTATAACAGTGAGAAACAAAACAATCTATCCAACAACAGGCGGCTGGCAGTCTCTTAAATAAATTACTGTGCATCTGTGCTATGCAACCATTTAAAAACTGGCTCATATCTATGTTCATTAAAGTATATGAGGTCTACCAACATTGCACGAGGAGAAAAGCAGGATGAAGAATAACACGATTAATCTTGTTTATGTACTTGTGCACATGTATGCATAAGAATGCTCACCAAACTGTTAATGCTAGTAATCTGTGGGTGGCGGTATTCAGGAGTTTTTACTTTTTTATATTGTTTGAATTTTTAAAAATAATATATATTTTTTGTAACCTGAAAAAATTTTTTAAATAAGTAAGTAAAACAAGTCCGGGTGCGGTGGCTCACGCCTGTAATCCCAGCACTTTGGGACGCCGAGGCAGGCAGATCACGAGGTCAGGAGATCGAGACCATCCTGGCTAACATGGTGAAACCCCTGTCTCTACTAAAAATACAAAAAATTAGCTGGGTGTGGTGGCGGGCACCTGTAGTCCCGGCTACTCGGGAGGCTGAGGCAGGAGAATGGCGTGAACCTGGGAGGCGGAGCTTGCAGTGAGCTGAGATCGCGCCACTGCCCTCCAGGTTGGGCGACAGAGCGAGACTCCGTCTCAAAAAAAAAAAAAAAAAAAAGAAAAAGTAAAATAAAGCATGCATTAGAGAAATTTAAACCAACTCAAGCCACAGACTCAAAAGAAGGAAGCTCAGGAGTTTAAGATCAGCCTAGACAAGGTGGTAAGACCCCACCTCTACAAACAATTTTAAAAACTGCCAAGCATGGTGGCGCACGCCTATGGTCCCAGCTACTTGGAGGGCTGAGGTGGGAGAATCACAACCTGGGTGACAGAATGAGACCCTGTCTCAAAAAAACAAAACAAAAAAAACCAGATTTCACGTTTTATATTTTATTTATTTATTTATTTATTTATTTTGAGACGGAGTCTCGCTCTGTCGCCCAGGCTGGAGTGCAGTGGTGCTATCTCAGCTCACTGCAAGCTCTGCCTCCCGGGTTCATGCCATTCTCCCACCTCACCCTCCTTAATTTTTTGTACTTTTTAGTAGAGATGGGGTTTCACCATGTTAGCCAGGATGGTCTCTATCTCCTGACGTCATGATCCACCCGCCTCGGCCTCCTAAAGTGCTGGGATTACAGGCGTGAGCCACTGCACCCGGCCAACATTTTGTAATTTTATAACATGGCAACGTTATCAACATAATGCTCAGCGACCACTAGGAGAACAAACAATGTGCTTGATTGAACCCAACTTCATTTTCTAGAAACATTATTTCTCCGTAAAATTTAGTGCTTTGATTTCTGTGGAGCTTCCAAGAATAGCTACTCTAAATGTAACATCATCTAATAACGTGTATTTGAAACTGGTGTGTCATATACAAGGTAAAAACCTACTTATAGAACAACATCTTTCCACAAAATATTTAGTTGTTTCTCAATTTGTTAGATCAATACTGTTCCTATTTTATAGAAACAGAGTATCAATTGATATTCCTACTTTGGTTAAGTGACCTAAATTCCTATGCACCATAATGATGCCTCTTTCTAGCTTTGATTTCCTCAATGTTTATTAAGAATTTTATCAGCCGGGCGCCATGGCTCACGCCTGTAATCCCAGCACTTTGGGAGGCTGAGGCTGGCGGACCATGAGGTCAGGAGATCGAGACCATCCCGGCTAACGCGGTGAAACCCTGTCTCTCCTAAAAATACAAAAAATTAGCCGGGCGTGGTGGCGGGCGCCTGTAGTCCCAGCTACTCAGGAGGCTGAGGCAGGAAAATGGCATGAACCCGGGAGGTGGAGCTTGCAGCGAGCCAAGATCCCACCACTGCACTCCAGCCTGGGCGACAGAGCGAGACTCCGTCTCCAAAAAAAAAGAATGTTATCAATAAAAAATAGGCCGGGCATGGTGGCTCACGCCTGTAATCCCAGCACTTTGGAAGGCCAAGGCAGGTGGATCATGGGGCCAGGAGATCAAGACCATCCTGACTAACATGGTGAAACCCCATCTCTACTAAAAATACAAAAAATTAGCCGGGCGTGGTGGCAGGCGCCTGTAGTCCCAGCTACTTGGGAGGCTGAGGTAAGAGAATGGCATGAACCCGGGAGGTGGAGCTTGCAGAGAGCCGAGACTGCGCCACTGCATTCCAGCCTGGGCGACAAAAAAACAAAAAAACAAAAAACAAAAAACCAATGTTAATAGCCATTTTTATCCTTAGCTTATCCTAGGTCTGAACTCAATGTATCTCCAGAAAACCCTGAAGATTACCACATTATTGACAATATGGAAGCACACAGACAAAATACATACATAACTTACATTTTTATGATTGACACATTTTAAGAGGACAAGTTCACGATAAGCTCTCTTTGCATGAGTTTGGTTCTGAAAAGGACGGCTTAGTTTCTTGACTGCAACATTTATCCCAAGAACTGTATCAAATGCAGCACTAGAATTAGGAAATATAATGCACAATCCATTAGAACGGTTTTGGAAAATACAGCAATGCCAGAATATACATTGAATATATCATCTTTTTAATAAGTAACAAGGAAAAATCTGCTTATTTCATTCAAGGTACTTGCACATATGAAGAGCAGAGTGAGTTGTCTAAGACTACAGCATGTACTAACTCCTTTGCAGAGGCACATTTCAGCCACAGTTAAGATGGGGTTCAGCAATCCTTCACACACCAAGGTTTCATAGTTTAGATTACATTCAAAACCAGGTAATTTAATATAGAGTGCATAAAACCAGTCAAGAAATGAAATCTTCAGTTTAAACATGACAAGAAGTTGGAAACAAAGTCACTGTTTCCTGTCTTAAAATGTGTATATTTTGGAATATCACAGTAGAGGAAATGGCTGAATTCATGAGGAGAATAAATCTAAATTTTGAATCACTGTGTTTTTTTCACAAATAACAGTATCTAAAAAGAAAAGAAGCCAAAATTTCAGCTCATGGTAAATGTTCAAGATACAAAATCTCTAACGTAAGCAACTGCTATATAAAGTTCTTTTAGAACTATCTCCTCCTACTACTATAGTAAGAATAAAATCTACAGGCTGTGTTTCCAGCATCTCGTTTCCTGTTGAAATTCTGTTCATTTTCCTCCAGAAAATAGACATGAAGAATCAAGTAGCCTGATTACACATTTTTAGGTTTCAAACTGGTACTAAATAGTATCATTTGTATTATCACCTC
This sequence comes from Homo sapiens, assembly GCF_000001405.40. Classification (NCBI taxonomy): domain Eukaryota; kingdom Metazoa; phylum Chordata; class Mammalia; order Primates; family Hominidae; genus Homo; species Homo sapiens. The sequence continues at coordinate 180,270,165 of NC_000005.10, forward strand.
TGGGCTACTCATGAGGGCTAACAGCTACTAAAGGCCACCTGAGAACCTAAGCACTGATTTAAATACTGTTTCTATTTCTTTATTCCATTGAGTTTATAACATTGTTTACATTTATTCTCTTCTATTAATGCTTTTGCCAAACTCGAACCTAATTCAATCTGTTTTAAAGTTGAAGGCTATCTGTTGTAGCATTTGGTTAAGAAGCTACCTTACTTTAATTCAGTTCATATTATGTGTCTGTCTATATACATATGTAAATCCACAGGTTCATATGCAAATTGCACCATTTATATGAATTATAAAATGAGAAGGATATATCCACTTGTGAAACAAGTCATTGACATACATGTAGCCATGTATGTATTTATACCTATATACTTCTCAGACTCAAGAATTTGAAAATAGGCCAGGTGTGGTGGCTTATGCCTGTATTCCCAGCACTTTGGGAGGCCAAGGCAGGCAGATCGCTTGAGCCCAGGAGTTTGAGACCAGCCTGGGCAATACAGTGAAACCTTGTCTGTACAAAAAATACAAAGATTAGCTGAGTGTGGTGGTGCATGTCTGTAGACCCAGTTACTCAGGGGACTGAGGTGGGAGGACTGCTTGAGCCGGGGGTCGAGACTGCAGTGAGCACTGATCCCTCCACTGCACCCCAGCCTGGGTGACAGACTGAGACCCTGTTGCCCAGGGTCTCAAAAAAAAAAAAAAAGAAAAAGAAAAAGAAAAAAAGAATTTGAAAACAGACACACTTTTTTGGTATCAAAAGTTTTTGTCCAAAATTTCAGTTAGATAGGAGGAATAAGGTCAGGAGGTCTACTGTGAGATATGGTGACTGCAGTTAATAACAATGTATTGTATTCTTGAAAATTGATGAGAGTAGATTTGTTCTCATCAGAAACTTTTAAAAAGTATGTGAGGTAATGCATATGTTAATTCGCTCAATTTAGCTAGTCCATAATGTATACATATTTCAGAACAATATGCTGGACATGATAAATATATACAATTTTTATTTGTCATTTTAAAAAAGTTTTTGGCTAAAACAAGGCAAATGGACCAAGTCTAAGCATCTAAGTGGGCATAAGCTTCCCCACTTGTAGCTCAGCTCCATGAGGAACTACCTTCAGTTATTCCTGGTTGTGGTTATTGCGGTCACTCAAAGAATACATTGTTATCACTATCTCTTCATTTATCAGCTTTAGAAATGATTCACCTACTCCCCATTACGAAAACTGAGTATTTGGCCACTTCCTTGAAATCCCCAATCGCCAACACCTCCTATTTTTTTTGTTGTTCTGCTTTTTGGGTTTTCCCTGGTTACGTCTTTAAGTAACACCCCTAATCTTCACGCTTCTTCAACTCTGAAGGGAACGTCTTGACTTCTGCTTACGTAAAATGAGACTGTTCCATCCCTTTCTCCTCCATTTACCATATATTCATAACTAAGTCTTCTGTATTTCTTCTTTAGGATGTTTCTAGAAGTTGAAAATCAATACATGGAGTGTAGGTGTGTATGTGTACAATGTAAATATCACTAACGGCCAGAGTTGGGATTACATTTCATTTTCTAAAGATCACATGGCTCTTGCTGCCACTCATAAGAGGGTGAGACTATTTCCAGGATCAAGGACAAAGGATTCTCTTATATTTCATCAACTGCTCAAACATCATGTCCTCTTTGTTTCATAATTAGACCATGATTTTTTCTAGTTTTCCCCACACATTTCTAATAAATAATAGATTTTATTACATTCTAGATTATTATTAGTTTTTACTAATAAAAAATGCCAGTTTTAGCCTATCATTGACACATCTTAGCTTCTCACATTATCTGTTGTGTGGCACCTACTCCACATGATTTGCAGACACTCTTTAGCCTATCACTGGCACTTCCTAGCTTCTTACATTATTGTTGTCTGGCATCTCCTCCACATGATTTGCAGACACTCTTCTTGCAGCTTCCTTAAGACCTGCCATGCAGCCACCATCCTGGGATTTCTTTTCACAGTCCCCACTGCTTCTTGCATTACGCTCTTGTGTTGCCTCTCTTGCTGGAGTACATCCTCAAGGAATTTCCTCAGAAAAGGTGCATGGAAGATAGATGGTATTGCTCTGCCCCCACCCTTGATTGATAATAAGTTTTCTGAGTTTAAAATCAATTTTCTGTGAGAACTTTGAAGGCACTTTTCCACTGATTTCCACACTGAGTGCTGACAGTGAGGAGGCTTATGCCCGATACTGTACTGATTCCTTTGCTTCTTTTTTTGTTTCCCAGCTCAATGATTTATCAGTCATGTTCTCTCTGTATCCCAAAAGCTTCTCACACCCCCAACTAATTAGTGTCCCTCCTGTCCACCAGTGATAACTGCTTTGACATGTACAATAATCACTTTCTTGCTTTACCAGCTAAAGCATGCACCCTGGAGCTCCCAGTTTATTTTTGCCTGTTTTTTGAAATCTTCTGTGTCTGACTTCTGTGGCTCAATATTATGGGACTCATCCATTGTTGCTGTATGTAGCTATAACTCCTTCCATCATTGCTATAAGATTCCTTTGTATAACTATATCACATTACGTTGATAGATATTTCAGTTGTTTTTAGTTTTCAATCTATTACAGAACACACAGTCATCACCATTCCTGTACGCAGCTCCGGATCCCCTATGCATGTGTTTCTGATGAGTAGACAACTAAGAGTGGGAACGTATCCATTGTATTTCAGTAGATAATGTCAAACTCTTTGCCAGAGCGTTTCTACAAATTTGTACAGCTGCCAGCAGTGCACGAGGGGTCACATCTGAGAGCTGCCTCTGCGTGGTTCCAGTACACGAGGGGTCACATCTGAGAGCTGCCTCTGGGTGGTTCCACATCCTCACCAGCACTTGGTATCACCAACAGCTTAGTTTCTAACCATTCTGCTGAGTGTGGAATGGTATTTCGTCGCAGTTTTAAATTGCACTATCTTGATGAATAACGGCATTGAGCACTTTTCCTGTTTATAGGTTATTTGGGTATCCTCCTGTGACAACCTATTGACTATTTGTTTGTCTATCTTTATAATCTTCTTGACTGTTGTTCTTTACATATTCTGAACAAGAGATTTTTTTTCAGTCATATATCTTCTCACATCTATGCTTATCTTTTCAGTTTCTTGATCTTGGTTTTTTAAAATAAACAACATTTCTTAATTTTAATACAAAATTGATCAATCTTCTATGATAATTTTTTTTTTTCTTAAAGTGGAGATGGGGGGAGTCTCATTATGTTGGCCAGGCTGGTCTTGAACTCCTGGCCTCAAGCGATCCTCCCACCTTGGCCTCCCAAAGTGCTGGAATTATAGGCATGAGCCACCACATCCAGCAGATAAATGTTTTTTTATGTTGTGTTTAAAGGAGTCCTTCCCTACCCCAAAGATCATGAAGACATTCTCCTATATTATGTTCAAATAGCTTTACTGGCTTGCCTTATATATTTACAGCAATTCAACTGACATTCACTTTTGTGTATAATATGAGGTTGGGGTCAAATTTCACTTTTTTCTACATGAACATTCCTATGTCCATTTATTTAAAAGGCTAGCCTTTCCTCATTGCTCCACAGGCCACCACTGCCATAAGTCAGAAGCCCACACATGCATGACTCTGTTTCAGGGCTAGTCCACTGTTTCTCCTTGCACCACACGACACCAGCTTGATCACCAGTTTTATGGTAAGTCTTCACATCTCGCAGAGGGAGTGTTCCTCCCTTCTTAATGGGTGTCTTGACCATTCTAGGGTTTTTATTTTTACATATAAATTTTAAAATCAGTTTGTTCATTTCTTTGTTTTTTAAGACGACTGAGATTTGATTGCAATCACTCTAGACAAGTCTGAAAAATGACCTTCATGGTATTAAATATTCTAACTCTGAAAATCAGACATCCCACCACGATTTCAGTTTTCTCTATTTTTTCTAATTTTTTTAGCTTTTTGTATACAAGTCTTTCATATTGTTAGATTTTTCCTCCAGATATGATAATTTAAAAGTTTTTATCCTATTTTAAGTGGTATCCTTTTCAAATTTTCATTTTCTATATGCTGCTAGTATATAAATATGCAATTTTGCAGGGGGAGGGGTACATATACTGACCCTGCATCTTGCAAAAGGGCTAAACGTACTCATTAATTTAACAAAACGCAGATTATCCAGGTGGGCCTATTCTTATCACGAGAGCCCTTTAAAGGCAGAGTTTGCTCTGGCTCATGGAAAGGGTGGAAAATCAGGGAGATGTGAGTATGGGAAGGACTGGGCATGCCACTGCTGCCTTGAAGATGGAGGAGGTCACTTGAGAAGGAAAACATGCAGCCTCTGGGAGCAGACAGCAGCGCCTGACTGAAAGAGATCAAGAGATTGGGAACCACAGACCTAAAGCTGTAAGGAACTAGACTCTGCCAACAGGCTGAAGGAGCTTGGAAGCAGATACCCTTCCAGAACCTCCATCTGTGAGCTGAGCCCAGCCCAGTCGAAATCTTGACTTCAGCTTTGTGAGA